>NW_025791797.1:0-300000 GCF_000001405.40 Homo sapiens | reverse complement strand
GAAAAAGTGCGGTGCAGAAGGGAGGTGTTTTCTGGTGGATCTTGGTCTTTCCCAAAAATCGCTTCCACGCCCTGACAGGAATTCCGTGTTGAAGAAGAACATGCTCTCAGGGCCCCATCTAGGCAGTGGAATCTGCACTTTGATCCTCCAGTGAAGCATGTATTTTCCCACAGCCTCTTCACCACTAACACTCATCATTATCTCTCTGGCAGAGAAAAGGCATCTTTGTCTTTTAAATTAAGTACAAATAAATATTTTATTTTACCCAAATGGTTGCGGGGGGAGAATCTCAAAAGAATGGAGTGTTAGGTTAATTCTTGGGGTTCACAGGACCCATTCAATCACTCAGCATATGTTTATTAAGCACCTACTATGTGCCAAGTACTATTTTTGCTACTGAGAGTTCAACAGTCAACAAAACAGACAAGAATCACTTTTCCCAAGGAGCTCATATTCTAACTTGGGGAAGCAGAAATAAACATAATAGAGAAGTAAATTGTATACTATGTCATATGGGAAAAGGAAATCCAAAGTGCTGGGAGATGGGGTATAAATTGCAGCTTTAAATAGAGTGTTCAGGGCAGACCAGAGTAGGTCTAGGTTCCTTAAAGAATCACTTTTTTTTTCTGATTATCTAAACTGACAAGTTGGATCTTGCCATCTTCCTTGGAGATTTCAAAGGGTCTATACTCTCTAGGAACCTGGCTGGGACCTGCAGGACGCTGGAGTCCATCTGCCTCTACCCAAGGCAGTAGAGTGACCCTTTCCTCCTTGGTCCAAGTACTCTGCCTCCACAGCCCTCCAGCTCCAGCCTGGCCAGGCCCGAGCATGGCTGCTCCCCAAGCACCTCCTGCCTCCTGGACCAGTGGGGGCCTCTGCCATCCTGCTGTCCCTGGCTGTTCTCCTGGCCATGCTTCTGCCCAGTGAGACATAGCCCAACAATGCTCACACCTTATAACACCAGTGCAACCGACATATGCAGAAAACATCCATGTCAACAACTGATTAATTATGCAGACATGACGTTCTTGTTGCCAACCTCAGAGACCATTACTGAGTATCAGACAAATCTGTGTATATTCTCACGCATGCATTTGTGTTAATTCAGTAGCAAAAAAAATAAAAAAGAAGAAAGAAAGAAAAAAAAAGCATTACCAGCTCTTCCCAATTTGGCAATGAGACACCTCCCAACCTGACAAAGTCCAGAAACACGTCGGGGACACATTCATGTTTATTCAAGGTCTTTCTCACCCCTACAGCTTTATTTCTTTCAGGAAACAGCTCGTCTGTGTGGCTGAAATCATGCAGGCTTTCAAAATGCAGCCTTCCAAGAGAAGAAAAAGACAGAAATGTGCTTTTTGCACATACTCCGAAAAACGTTTATATTCATCTTAAGCTGGTTTGTTTTTCTAAGCTTTTCAGGGCAGGAAGTGTTCAGTGTGAACACATCAGTGGAGCTGCCAGATTTGCTGTTTGGATGCTCATGGCTTTCAAAATTCTTTTTTTTTTTTTTTTTTTTTTGAGATGGAGTCTCGCTCTGTCGCCCAGGCTGGAGTGCAGTGGCGCGATCTCAGCTCACTGCAAACTCTGCCTCTCAGGTTCATGACATTCTCCTGCCTCAGCCTCCCCAGTAGCTGGGGCTACAGGTGCCCGCCGCCACACCCAGCTAATTTTTTGTATTTTTCAGTAGAGACAGGGTTTCACGGTGTTAGCCAGGATGGTCTCGATCTCCTGACCTCGTGATCCGCCCACCTCGGCCTCCCAAAGTGCTGGGATTATAGGTGTGAGCCACCGTGCCCAGCCTCAAAACTCTTAAACAAGCAAGACGATAGGAAGACAGAGATTTAGAGTCAGGGTGTCTTTGTTCAATGTATATAAAATGGCATCACTCTCATTTCTATAAACCACAAAAAAAAAATCCTTGGGGGTTAGCAGAACATATTAAAGACTTCTTAAAAACAAAAGGTGATGTTTTTATAATATTAAGATGCTAACATCAACCCCTGCAATACAATGGTAACAAAGCCATATTGGAGTCATAAATCAGCAGGAAAAAAAAAACTGTTACAAACATACTATCTTTTGTTAAAAGAAAAAAAAAAGAAGAAGGCAAACTACAGTCTATGATCCAAGCAGTGTGTTGGGTGCAATACAGGTTTCTGACTTTAAGTTGGCATATTTTAAGGTATACTTTAAATTTCTTAATATATGGAATTATGAATACTTTTCTTTTGGTTGCTTAAAACATCATCATACCATTCTATATTTATTTGACATTAAAATGTCACTTGGACGCTGGGCGCCGTGGTTCACACCTGTAATCCCAGCACTTTGGGAGGCCAAAGCGGGCAGATCACTTGAGGTCAGGAGTTCGAGACCAGCATGACCAACGTGGTGAAACCCGTCTCTACTAAAAATACAAAAATTAGCTGGGCATGGTGGCAGGCGCCTGTAATCCCAGCTACTCGGGAGGCTGAGGCAGGAGAATCACTTGAACCTGGGAGGTGGAGGTTGCAATGAGCCAAGATCGCACCATTGCACTCCAGCCTAGGCAATAATGAAACTCCATCTCAAAATAAATAAATAAACGAAGAAAAGAAAATGTAACTTGGTTTTGGGTTTGAATAAACATTGGACTCATTAGTAGTAGATATTTGGAAAATCACACAAACTAGACAAACTTGGAGACACTGGACATCTGTTATAATATATTGGTGATGGCTGCTCAAATTTCAAAAGGGAGCCAGGCTTGCAGTTGGGAGCCCAAGCGCCCAACCCACCTCTGCAAGAAAGTGACCATATGGCTCCTGACACGACCTTTCAGGTCTCCAGGTCTTACTCTCCACACTGCTAAAGGTGGGCAACATGTGTTAGATGAACTCCAAAATTCTCCACAGCGGAAGGAAAGCCAGGCAGGAGGATGAAGGTGCAGTAATTTTGTCTCTCTACTGTATATTTCTTAATTACCAAAGTAATACCATTGATGTGAATTTAGAAAAAAAGTTCCCTGAGGAGAAAAATACCCAGCAGTCAAAAAATAAAACTCTGGTATCCTTTGTCATGAGAATCATTGCATTTTCTTAAATCAAAAGGAGGCGCAGGAGAGAAAAACTGCACAGTGCCCCTTCACCGACTCAAAGAGCCCTCAGATAGAGCCACACTCAGCTCAGTGATAAAAGGAAAATGTAGAATAACCTCACGATAAAAGAATCAACATTGAACCCTAGCTTATTTCTTCACCCCACTGCTACTGGTGAGAGGAGGCAGCTTGCATATTTTGACAAGGCATATTTGTGCTCCCAAGGCTTCAGTTTCCTAAAATAATGTATGTGATAGTGTTCTTTAAACTGTAAGAAGCTGTACAAATGTATGATATTACGATTGTTGTAATCACAAAGTTCTAAAGGCAAGGTTTTAATGTAAGCCTTAGTACTACTGTACAAGCATGCGTCTTGTCTGGTGCTAGCCATGAGAGACGGAACAAGACACTCCATGCTCCCATGGAACTCACTGTCTGGGATTGGGTGTGGAATGAGAAACAGACAAGCAAATAGGCAATTCTGAAGCTATGTGACAAGGACTATCCAAGACAGGGAAGAACAGAGTGCTAGGGGGGCACAGGAGCGTAAGTGTCACACATGGCATTACAGAGGCAATGACCACAAAGCTGAGATGTAAAGAACAAGTAGGAATTAGCCAGAAAAATGGAGAGGACAGAGGAACAGATCTTCTAGAACAACAGGGGCATAATGAACAACACAGGCAAGGACAGGAGACGGGGGGCAACAGTCCAAGTTGCATGAACGGTGTGTAGCTCTGCAGAGCTGGATTTCAGAATGTGGGGGAAGTTGGGAGAAGAGAAGTTGGAGAGGTAGGCATGGGCTGGATCCTGAAGGGGCTCTGGAAGGCAGACCATGAAGTCCGTGTTCATCCTGAGGAAGCACTGGAGAGATATTAAGTAGAGAAGTGAAATTATTATTATGAAGAATGGATGGGAGGGTAAGTGATACAGAAGGCAGGGAAACTAGTGAGGCCGCTGTAACATTCCAGGAGACAAATGATGGGGCAATGAGGATTGAGAGGAAAATGAACCAGAACAAAATAACATATCTCAGAACTCAAGAAAAAATTATCCTAATATATTTGAAATATTGGGACAAGTGGCAAAGTTTCAGACAAACTATGTAATTAACCAAAACTGACTCCAAATAGAAGAGGAAAATCTCAATAGTCCTTTAACCAATAAAGAAATGGAATCCGTTTTTTACATTCTTTCCATAAAGAAAACAATACAACCACAAGGTTTTACAGGTGTGCCCTACAAAACATGTGTGCTCTACACAACATTCAAAGTATAAATAATTCTCATCTTTAAAAAAAAGAAAACTCTTTCAAAGAATAGTAAAAGAAAGGAACACCCAATAATTCATCTTATGAGTTTATTATGCTCTTGAAAACAAAACCAAATAAGAATAATAAAAGAAAAAAATCACATATCAGTCTCACTCTAAAATGAAGGCAGATTTCTAAATAAAAGACAAAATAAATCTAACATTTTACAAAAATAAACCATCAACAGTAGAATGAATCAATAAATCGTGGTGTATTTATACACTGGAATACAATAAAGCAGTAAAAATGAGTGAGCTCAGCTTCACAGGTCAACAGAGATGAAATTTAAAACTACAATACTGAGCAGAATAAGGCAAGGTATGATTCCATTTGTATAAAATCCAAAACAGTGACAGCAAAAAATGATATATTATTTAGGGATACATACTCAAATGGTAAACTATAAAGATAAGGAAGTATAAAAACTAAATTCACCTTTGCTGTGCATACATCTGAGCAGAGAGTAGGAGAGAGTAAGGAAAAGTCATACAAGAAGCTTCACAGGTATTGATACTGTTCCATTTCCTAAGCTCCACGGTAGGTACCTACATGTTCACTATGTCATTATTACTGAGCCATCTTACGTATTATTGTGCAGTTGGGCACTACACAAATTTATATGGCCATCTTCCTTTAAATATCACGTTATATGAATTCTTTTGTATATACATTTTATAATAAAATAAGTTTTAGGCCAGGTGCAGTGGCTCACACCTGTAATCCCAACATCTTGGGAGGCCAAGACGGGTGGATCACTTGAGCCCAGGAGTTCGAGACCAGCCTGGGCAACATGGTGAAACTCCGTCTCTACAAAAAATGCAAAAACAAAAACAAAAAAATTAGCCTGCTGTGGTGGCACACACCTGTAGTCCCAGCTACCTGGGAGGCTGAGATGGGAGGATCACCTGAGCCCAGGAGGTGGAAGCTGCAGTGAGCCAAGATCATGCCACTACACTCTAGCCTGGCGACAGAGCAAGACCTTGTCTCAAAAAAAATTAATTTTGTTTTAAATCAGGCATGTGTGTGTGTGTATGTGTGTGTGTGTGTGTGTGTGTGTGTATATATATGCATGTGTATACTTAACACTAGATAGTTTTTTTTGTATCAATGAGAAAGTGGTGAATTATTTAATAAATTCTTCAGCTCAATAGATAAATAAGGAGGAAAATGAGTAAACACAGATCCTCCCTCAATGCACCTAAAACAATTCCATAGGAATAAAAGAACGTAAAGGTTAAAAATATACAAATAAATATAATTTCACTATTTTCTAGAATTAAGAATTGCAAAAAAAAAAGAGTCTGTTATCAATCAGATTGTTTTCCCATTATGAGTTACTTTTCTTTCATCTGGAGTTTTTGAACATATTTGTAACAGCTGATCTAAAGTATCTGTCTAATATGTCCAACATCTGGCTTCCTAAAAGACAGTTTTTATTAACGGCTTTCTTTTCATGTTATGGGCCACACTTTGCTGTTTCATTGTGTGCCTCATAACGTTTGGTTGAAAACTAGAGAGTTTAAATAATATAATGTGGCAACTCCAGAAATCTTTTCATCTTCCTCCTTAGAAGTTAGAAATTTTACAGATTAAGTATATGTCTCAGTATGCGTCTTTTCTCATCAGTCCTGACTGTAAGCCAGAGAGTGCACCCTTTGAGATACAAGTCTTCCTTCATTCAAGGAAACTTTCTAACAGTTGTTTCATTATTGCCCCTTCTCCATCCATTCCTTTCCTCCTGCTGCTTCTATTGTTTGAACGTTAAGGCTTCTAAAACTGTTCTCCAAGTCTCTTAGCTTTTCCCTCATGCTTTACACTTTGTGGTTTTCCACTGTGTTAGATGGTATTTCCTCCACTTGGCTTTCCTTCAACTCATCCACTGAATTTTTGCTTGGAAAATCTCATTTGATTTTTAGTTTAAAAAACTGGTGTTGGGCTGTAGTGGAATCTCCTTACATACTCTTAGTTGGTGGCTGTTCCAGTTTTCCTCCATCCCCGCCATCAGTACTGTTTCAATAAGAGCCATCTGTTCTGGATATATGGCCTGTTATTCCTCCTTCTGGCTGCTAGGCCCCCTAGGTGTGCTGCTTTCATATTCTTTCACATACACAATCTAAGAAGTAATATTGAAGGATATTTTGAAATCATATGTAGCTTATCAGTATGTTAACGGGGAGGGGGAAGCTGTAGGCTATGTAAAGATTAAACTCTACATTGGTTATCTCCTTGCAAGCAAAAGAGGACAGAGGATGTAACAGCTAGCTGTGGTCTGAGTGATGGAAGGAACAAGATAGGGCAAGATATACTGATCCCACCTTTTCCCAGGAAGTCCTAAGAGCTGCACTGTTCAGTAGAGTAGCCAGTAGACACACGTGGCTATCATACATTCTAAATGCAGCTAGTCTGAATTGAGATGGGCTGAAAATGTAAAATAAGTACTTGATTTCAAAAGACTTAGTAGGACAAAAAGTAATGTAAAATATCTCATTTAGGATTTTCATACTGATTACATGTTGAAATAATATTTGGATATATTAAGTTAAATGAAATATGTTACTAAAATTAATTTTCACTTGATACTTTCAACTTAATTTAATTTTATTTTATTTTAGAGATAGAGTTTCACTCTGCGGCCCAGGCTGAAGTGCAGTGGTACAATCATAGCTCACTGCAACTTCAAACTCCTGGGCTCAAGGGACTCCCCCACCTCAGCCTCCTAAGTAGCCAGGACAACAGGACCTCCACTATGCCAGCTAACTGTTTGTTTGTTTGTTTGTTTGTTTGTTTGTAGAGACAGGGTCCTGCTGTGTTGCCCAGACTCATCTCGAACTCCTCAACTCAAGTAGTCCTCCTACCTCAGCCCCTCAAAGCACTGGAATTACAGGTGTGAGCCACTGAACCCACCCCTTTTAGCTTATTTTAATACAGCTACTAGAAAATGTACAGTTATATATGTGGCTTGCATTACATTTTTATGGAACAGTGCTGCTATATAAGATCCTGGAGTAGTTCTTACTTCCCTAAAAGTTCTGAGGAGAAGGAAAGGCACTGATTTAAGTCAGGCAAGTGTTTCCAATACATTTTACTCACCAAGATGCAGTCTTTGGTTCAAGACTAAGGAGATGATACCTAAAGGGGCTTCACAAAGGAATAATCAAGACCTCGTGGCATTGCAGACTCCATACCTAAGAAGGGCTCCCACCCACACATCAATTATTAGCTCTGCCACCAACCTCAAACCACTGTGAAAAGACCTAACTGCAAGAACACCACATAGAAGAATCCCACAATGAAACTGAACAACTAAATCATTTGATTCCTGAGCAGGAAGCCATAAAACAGCACAAATGTTCTAACTGCAATGTTGTGCATAATCCAAGACATGAAGTTTCTTCCATTTCTTCCATTTTTAGCAGCTGCAACTCAAGCATAATTCAAAGTGTGACTATATCTATTTCTGACACTTGGATGATATCTCATCATTACCACAAATCTGTTTGTCCCCTCCCATAGCAAGTCGCTGCCCACAGTAAAACACTGACCGATATGATTGGTTGTGTTCAGGAGTAAGTGAAATGCAAATGAATCACAAAGTTGCTTGTGAGAAAACCGGTCTATACCCTTCTTTAAAAACAGCTCAGTTTTGATGAAAAGCGTCTTTAAGTGTTCAGAAGGAAAAATGGTGTAGCTGCTTGCCTGCATCTACTCAGAGGTCTGTGACAGGTTGTAAAAGAGAGGCGTCTGCTACTTGGCTTAGGGCAGAAACCCAGGCTGTGGAGAAGAGGCCAGACCAGGAGAAGGAGGAGGGAGGACGAGCTAGCTGCCAGCAAGAGGCTGGAAAGAGCCCATTGCGGGGTTTCTCTACGTACCGGGGGAAGTCACAGGGAAAGGCAGTTTCATATTCCTGGGGCCTCACTTTCATTTTGCTGTCCTCAGGGAAGATAAAAGAGAAAGAAGAAACAGCTACCTTATTAAATGACTATGACATGCCAGGCATCTACTAGATGCTTGGCATAGTTTATCTAAATTAATCTCACATCAACCCTGCACAAGGAAGTTAGTATCATCTCCGTTTGAGAAAGAGGGAAAGAAATGAGGTTCTGGAGGTAAAGAGAGCTGTCTAATATAACAGTTAGAATGTGGCACAGCCCATTGGAAAACTCATTCATTTCCTCTTCCCAGAGCCATACAGGATATAAAATAATTTTCCTTTGGGCGAAAAACAAATGAAGTTAAACATTTAGAAGAAAATATAAGAGGAAATCTTTGTGGCATCAAAGTAAGAAGGGATTTCTTTAAAAAGACACACAAAAAGGCAAACTATAAGAGACAAGATCAGTAATCATCCTTCCATTCACTGATTCAACAAATATTTCTGAACATCTGACAGTTGTCACACACTGCCCCAGGCACCTAGGATACATCACTGAACAAAAGAGACCAAAAGCCCTGCTGTCCAAGAGCTTATATTTCTAGAGAGAAACTACAATAAATACAAATAAACATTTTTGTTCACCATTAAAGATAAAAAAAACAGGCCAAAGACTGAGAAAAGGTATATAACCAACAAAGAATTTGTATCCAGAATACATAAATGATGTGTACAAATAAACTAAAAGAAGGAAAAAACAAAAACAAAAAAACCCTTAAGGGCAAAAGAATAAGCAATTCGCAGAAGTAGAAAGGCAAACGCCAGTAAACATGAAAAGATGGGTATTTCACTAGTAATCAGGGCAATATAAATTATAATACTGAAGAGATACCATTTTATAACCATGAACTGGCAAAAAAGAAAAAGCCCGACAATATCAAGTACTGAAGATAATATGGTACAACTAGGATTCTTAATTGTTCAGTTAAACTATACATTGTTGCCATATTTTACCTAATAATTTTTCCAAAAGCTAGTAAACCTCAAGATGGGTGTATCATTTCCCCCAGCAATTCCACTCCTAGGTATAGACCTTAGAAAAATGAACATATATAAAGAAGATATATAGAATTGTTTGTAAAAAACAAAATTGAAAACAACTAAATGTACAACAGGAGAATAAATAAAGAATTCTGATGTCTTCATACAGTGAGATACTACACAACAGTGAAAATAAATGAATTAAAACTATATTTAACAACATGAATAATCTCACTAACATAATGCCCAGTAATTGAAGCACGTTACAGAATACTCACAGTATAATTGTCTTATATAAAGTGGGTTTTTTGGTTGTTTTTTTTCCCTAGAGATGGGGTCTTGCTATGTTACCCAGGCTGGAGTGCAGTGGCTATTCACAGGCACAACTATAGCACACTACAGCCTCAAACTCCTGGCCTCAAGTGATCCTCCTCCCTCAGACTCCCAAGTGGCTGGAACTTCAAGTCCTAGCCATTTATATAAAGTTTTAAAAGTACAAAATAACAATGTATATTTTGTTTAGAAATATGTAGCAAAAGTATAAAGAACAGGAAAGAAATTATAAACTTAAAATTCAGAATGGTCATTTCCTCTGAAGACAAAAGGGAGAGGAAAAGGAAAATGTGGCTAGGGTTTTGTGTTGACAAAGTTTTATTTTGCAAACTGGGAAGTGGTAAATGTGTGTGTCTGTATTATTTATTTAATCCATTTAATTATTAACAAACTAAGCAGAAATCTCCAAAAACTTATAATATCTATGAGACATAAGCAAGGATGCTGACAAGATAAATTAATGTTATCCTTGATAGGTTGTAAACAAGTAATCTTTGCTTCAGGTTTCAAATCTACTATGAAGCTCTAAGGTTGGAATACCAACGTGAAGTTTTTAGCCGGGGACATATGTATGGCCTAAAATACTATTATGCAAGGGAGAAAACATAAATGTTTTTACTAAAAGCAGAATGAGAAAACAAAAACAAAATGATTAAGTGTCAGGCTGTCAAAGCCTAAGCCAGATCTTTAAGATGTCTTAGGGAAAAACACAGCTGTATGAGAAAACAATAGCAGCTCCTATATGAGAAGCTCAGGTGTTGAAAGTATGAGACAAGTGTGGAAAGGGCCATGGAATGGAGCGCTACTGACCTTAGAGACTGAGGGTGTGAAGGAGGCGCCGGGTACAGTACTGGATGGACAGGGACTCCAGATGCAACAAGGCTGCCAGGAACTGTTTTCTGCTACTTAGGTCCTGTTGCCTACTTACCTCCTCAATTTGACGTGGACTTCTTCCAGACAGATACCATATGCTCAAATGAGTCTTCATTATGTCCCAGGATCTGCTCTAGATTGTGTGAGGGGCCCAAAGGTAAAATAGACATAGACCTCAAGGAATGGGGAAGAAAAGTCAAATGGGAAGTCCAACGAAGGAGAAAAGACATGTGTAGAAATAATTACATGATGGGATACAAAAACGGGGAGATGTATGCCAGTGGGAGGATTGGGAAAGACTTTGTGGATGTCTTGAGTGTTGAAGGATAGCTAGGATTAACAATAGAGGAGCAGGGAGGAAGGACTGAGAGGAGGGGAAAATAAGAAGAGGAAAGCATGGAGCAGTGCAAGTTCAGTTTGACTACAGCCTGAATACACAATTGGCCACACTATTTGGAGGAAACAACAAGCCACATGCAAGGGTAAAGTAAAAACTCAGTAATACCTATCTTCATGGCTGCACACAGAAGGTCTGAGCAAGTATCAACCATCTTTCATTCTCCCCACTAATGCTGGTTTCATCTTGGCTCAAAGGAATGACCAGTTTTGTTGAGCCAATGCCTTAAATTGAATTTGTGGCCAAAGTCCAAATATTTCCAAGTGAATTTCCTTGTACTCTTAAACCTCTGAAAAACATCAGGCAAGCTTTGATGGCCTGCCTGGGATGTCTTTCTCACCACTAGGCAGTTTAGTCCACCAGACAATAGGCTGGGTAATCACCCAGGGAGAAAAGTTAATGGGAGGCAAATCAGAATAGAGTCACATTTCTTTACGAGTTATAAACAACACATTTTTGTAACTGAAGAAATAAACATAGCTCACTTCTAAGAAAGCAAACATTTGTAGGAAAGTCATTAGATGACATCTGCTCTCTAATGGAAAATTTAAGGAAAACAGTGTGATTCAGGCCAAGCCAAGGGAAACACCAATTAGTATTATTTAGACTACGGCACTATCATGCTTCCTTGTACAATAAACAAACACTGAATCTCCTTACCCTTTAACACCAATGTTCTCCCATGAGACACCAACTTAGTTCCTCTTCCAATATACTAGTCATCAATCTACTCAGCCATTTGTGCCAACAGCAAGGACGAGTGACATTGGTAGGCTCTTCTGGAAGACCTAACATATCTCAGAGAAAAAGGATAAAAAGACATGGAATAGAAGAATGGGATGGTGAAAGAGTGACATACGACAGAGAAAGAGCAAAGGTAAATGCATCTAAGGTAGTGTGACAAGTAGAGTCCCCTACCTGCTACCTTCTGGTCTGGATACCACAGGTTTTCCAGAACAAGACATCTGGTGAGCTATAGGTGTAGATCTGCTATTAGTTCTGACCCTCACTTGTCCTGTGAACCTTGGGCAGGTCTGTCTCAGGCTCCATGATCTCTGATGCTCTCTTTATCCCATCCCTGAGTCTCTAAATCAACTGGCCAACCATAAATTATGCCAGAGAGAATACAGAGAAGCCTGCTACATACAGCCAAGAGCCCTCTCCCAGGGTCACAGAGTCAAGATGCCAGCATTCAGGTAACTAAGATACCCAAGCGTCTCTAGCCAGAAATTGTCCAAAACAACTGAAGAAAAACAGAACAAGAGAATATCAAAAATAGTTCTGAAATTGGAAACAATGCCAACTATACAACACAAATTTTAAGGTGTTTTTGCTAGATCAAGTACAGGTAGGATCAAATAAAAAAAGAAGTCACTAAGGACAGATTTTTAAATGTCCATTCTTAGGAAAAGAGGAGCAATGTTATGGGGAGTAAATAAATAAAATTCTAGAAGTATCCTTGATATGGAGGGTTAGCAGCTGAAGACCATGACAGGGCACAGGGGAGACGGGAACACCTTCACTTGAGGTCTCTCTCTTTCTCTTACCATGCACCGACAGCAGTTAGGGAAATTGGGAAAGCAAGTCGACCACATCCAATGTGAGTCTGTAGTTAGGGCTGTCCATGACCCCAGCTTCCACAGCCAGCCCTTTTAGAGTGCTATTCAAACTATTTAATCCACAGGCACTAACCAATCAGAGAAATGTCAACCAGAACTATTGATATGTCTAGGCTGGCAAATATTTGCCTAACATTAATCCCGAATCCATTCTTGATCACCTTAAAGATGAATTTCTAGGGCACAAAAGCAAACAACGGTGGATCTATGGTAGCCATTAGTGCTTCTCACTAAATATTTTCAGTTCTCCTCCTGGGTCCATGATAGAAGTGCACGACCCCATCCCTTTGAAGTTAAGTATGTCCACATGACTTATTTTAACTAACAAAATATAAATGACGTGTCACCTCTATTCAGAAGTCTTTAAGATCAAGCACCCAATTTGCCACATTTTCTATTTTCCTCTGACATGGAAATCTGCAATGTTTCAGATGGCAACAGCACTGAGGAGAAATGTGATAGATATGTAAATGAACAAGAAAAAATCCTTTCTGTATTATGTCACTAAAATATTTTGATTATTTGTTACTGAAGCATGATATAGCCTATTCTAGCTGGTATCAGATCCAAGGAAAAGTGTGCCTCCCAAGTTTGGGGAATACTGCAAATAGTGATAGGGCTATTGCAAATGCTTATTGAAGAATATGTAAACAGGAATAAAACCAACTTGAAAACTACGAGAATCTGTAGCATTAAAATAATAATAATGTAATCTGTAAGAGAAAATGTTTTAAATTTTTATTCTAGAAAATAAACTAAATTTTGGATAACATTTGCTTTGAACTCTTAAGGAAATTAAAGAAAACATGACCTTTGAAAAATAAGACATGAATAATACCATGAACAATATCTTATTAAGACAATAATTTGAAATTTAAAAAAGAGCTAGTATAAAAAAATAATGAAAGGAAATAATGTCTTAAAGCACCAGAAAAGGTACAGAGCAGAAATTACATTACAGAAAATTAAGTCAGTTAAGTAGCAGATCAGTGTGAGAATTAGGGATAAAAAGGAAAACACAAAAATTATAAAAGATGATTAAACAGTACAATATCTACATATGGAAAATTGATGTTCTTAAAGAAGGGAACAGAAAAACTAAAAGAGAAGAAAAAATATTTAAAGACATACTAGAAGAAAACATTCCTAAGTCAAAAAAAAAAAAAACAACAACTAAGGTGTGCCAATCAAAAATTAGGACCTAGTCATATCTTAGTAAAAGTATCGAAATTATCAAAGATTACAAAAAGGAATCTTGGATTATGGACAAAATGGTGTATACTCATGTCCCCCTTGCCCATCACCCAAATACAACTAAACACCCTGGACATAATCACACAAACCATCATAAGAAGAGCCTCTGAAAAGTAAAAAGAAGAGAAAAGACTGGCTAGGAACCTCAGAACTTAAGGAACAATATAGTGGTGGGTTCACTGGGTTTTCCTTTCACATTCCATATGTTCTGGACTGTGTGCTAGAGAACAATGCAACTCATAAATGCCAACAAGCAGAGACAAAAAGGAAATAAAAGCCTGCTCTCTCCAGTCAAAGGACTAGGAGACAGCCCAGCACAACAAACATCTTTTTGACAATAACCCCCTTACATCAGCCAAACACCATGGATGCCTTCCCCAACTCCTGCCCTGCAAAGAGTGAAAAGTCTGAATTTCTACACCCTAATAAATGGTAGTGGACACTCTGGGACATGCTACCCTCCCACCAATGGTGGCATGGTGTCAGCAAAGACCAAGTCAGGATTTTGGACTCCCACCTTAATCCTGGTAATAATGGGTAACACAGAGTAACACTCCCCTTAACCACTGCTGGACAATATCTGCTGAGATGAAGTGAGAAGCCTGGACTTCCACCCTTACCCAGTGGTGGCAGGCGGTGCTCCTCTCCCTCACAAATAGAGTGGGGGCTGGGGAGGCACAACTTGGAGAGAAGGGAGCTGGAGAAAGGAAATCCTTAAAACTTCACATAAAGCTCTAGGCAGACCCCTAACCAACTCACACATGAAACTGACCAGAATTAACAATACAAAAGGTTTGAGAACTGAACTACTGTGTGGAATACCACTGCATGTGAATGAAGCAGATCAGAGTAGCATTGCAGGGCACTAAAAATTAAACTCTTATAATTATGGCCTACGAAAGGAGGCAGGGACCTACACACTAGATCTAAACATGATCACTGTCTGCTGAAATAGAAGATAGATTTAAATTGAATCAAATAAGATCCAGAGTCTCATAATACTCAAAATGTTTAGGATATAATTTAAAAATCACTTTTTATACTACGAATTAGGAAAATAACTTAAATGGGAAAAGACAATCAACAGATACCTACACTGAAATGAACTCAGATGTTCAAATTATCTGCCAATGATGTTAAAGCAGCCATCTTAAAAATGTTTCTATGAGCAATTATGAGCACTCTTGAAACAAACAAAAAATAGAAAATCTCATAAAAGAAATAGAAGATATGTTTTAAAACCCAAATAGAAATTACAGAACTGAAAACGCAATATCTTAAATTTAAAAAATTTTTAAAACCTCACTGGATAGAGGTTTTTAGCACACTGAGATGACAGATCAGTATACTTCAACAAAAATCAAGAGAAATTACTTAATATGAACAACAGAAAGAAAATATACTGAAAATAAAATAAACAGAACATCTGAGGCCTATGGGAGAATAACAAAGGATATGATACTTTCACTATCACAGAACAAAAAGGAGAAGAAATATATATATATAAAATATATATTTCCTTTTAAATTCACTGAAGTTTGTTTTGTATCCAATAATATGGTCATAATATATTTATATTTTATATATATATTTATATATATTTATATTTTATATTATATAAATATATATTATATATACATATATATTAATGTTATATATATACACAATATATATATAATATATATATTAGGCAATATATATATTGCCTAAAATAACACTTGAAGAAATAATGGCTAAAATTTTCCCAATTTGGGGGAAAAGACTAAAACTAAAGATTCAATAATCTGAATTCTAAACAGCATAAACCCAAAGAACTACAAGAAGATATATCACTATTAAACATTTCAAATCTAAGGACAAACAAAAATCTAAAAATCAGCTAGAGAGAAACAATGCATTACCTACAGGAAAAAAACAATTTGAATAACATTAAATTTCTCATCTGAAACCACAGAGACAGAAGGCAGTAGCACAACGTGTTTCAAGTGCTAAAAAAGAGAGGGGAACTCTTAGCCTATAATTCTATATCCAGCAAAAATATCCTTCTGGAATCAAGACATTCTCAAATGAAGCAAAACTAAGAATTTGTCACCAGAAGGCCTACCATTAAAGAAGAGATAAAAGAAGTGTTCCAAAAAGAAAGGATAAAATAACAGAAGATGGCTTCAAAACTCTTGGAAGGAAGAAACAACAATTAATGGGCAAAAATAGGGGTGAAGATAATAGAATATCCTTCTCCTTATGAGTTTGTTAAACGTATTTGACAGTTGAAACAAAAATTATGTCATCTGATGTGGTGCTCAAACTATATTGAGGACATATTAAGACAGCTATATTCAAAAGGGTAAAGAATAAGGGGACCTAAATAGAGGTAAGGTTTCTACACTAAGTGAGGTGGTAAAGTTGGTATCAGTAGACTTTAATAAGATAAAGCAGGAAGGGGAGAGGCAGGGAGAGAAATAGAGAGAGACAGAGAGAGAGAGAGAGAAAATGAAAACTCCCATAGAAAAATCAACATCCAATCTTAAAAAAAAAATTCAAGTAACCCACAGGAAGGCAAGAAAAGGGAAACAGCAGAACAAAAAAAAGTGAGACTAAAGACAAAATAAGTTTAAAACTGGAAAACTGAAGTATTATTTAGTATAATTACTTTTCATGTAAATAGTCAAATTACAGCAAATACACTGATATACCAGATAGAGATGGGCAGAATGAATTTTTTAAAAACATGACTCAACCATATGCTCTCTATAAGAAACTCACCTCAAATATGATAATGTAGGCAGGTTCAAAGTAAACGATGAAAACACATATACTATGCTAATAATATATTTCATAGTAATTTTTAAAAGAAGTGGCTACATTCATATTAGATAAAGTAAACCTCAGAGTAAAGAAAAATATCGGAGACATAGAGCAAAGTTCTACCACCAAGAAGACATAGGAATTCTAAATGTGTATGCACCAAACAACAAAGTTTCAAAATATTTGAAGCAAAAACTGATAAAACTGAAAGAAAAATTATACTCAATGAAACTATACTTGAGGATTTCATCATCTCTCTCTCAGCAATTTTGAATAACTAGATAGAAAATCAGCAAGATTATAGAAGAACTAAACAACGCCATCAACCAACAAAATCTAATTGACATCTAAAGAACACTCCACCCAACAACAGCAGAATACACATTTTTTTCAAGAGTGCCCATGGAACATTCACCAAAACAGACCATATTATTGGACACAAAACAAACTTCAGTGAATTTAAAAGGATTAAAATCAGACAGAGTCTATTATTTGACCACAATGGAATAAAACTAGAAATCAGTAACAGAAAGGTAACAGGAAAATTTCCAAACACTGGGAAAGTAAATAACATGTTTCTAAATAATCCATGAGTCAAAGAGAAATTCTCAAAATGTCTTAGTCCATTTGGGATGCTTTAACAAAATATCACAAACTGGGTAGTTTATAAAAAACAGAAATGTATTTCTCACAGTTCTGGAGAGTGGGAGGTCCAAGATCATGGTTCCAGCAAGTCCAGTATCTGGTGAGGGCCTACTCTCTGGTTCATAGATGTGTCTTCTCACTGTGTTTTCACGTGGAAGAAGGGGCAAACAAGCGCCTTTTGGCCTATTTTATAAGGGCATTGATCTCATTCAGGAGGGCTTGCCCTCATGAGTTGATCACCTCCCACTTCCTAATACCATAACCTTGGAGGGTAGGATTTTGTTATTGTTGTTGTTGTTGAGATGGAGTGTTACTCTGTCGCCCAGGCTGGAGTGCAGCGGTGCAATCTCCGCTCACTGCAAGCTCCCCTTCCCGGGTTCACGCCATTCTCCTGCCTCAGCCTCCTGAGTAGCTGGGACTACAGGCGCCCACCACCAAGCCCGGCTAATTTTTTGTATTTTTAGCAGAGACGGGGTTTCACCATGTTAGCCAGGATGGTCTCGATCTCCTGACCTCATGATCCGCCCACCTCAGCCTCCCAAAGTGCTAGGATTACAGGTGTCAGCCACCACGCCTGGCCAAAGGGTAAGATTTTAACATATGAATTTGGAGGTGGATGGACACAAACATTGAGAACATAGCACAAAGGAAAGCTTAAAAATATTGTTTAATAAGAATGAAAATGAAAGTAAAACATATCAAATTTTGTGGTATGGCAAACTCAGTTACAGAGAGAGAAATTTATAGCACTAAATGCTTGCATTAGAAAAAAAAGAAAAGATCTCAAATCAATAATCTAATCCTACCCCCAAGAAAATGGAAAACAGAGGGAGAAAAAAAGTGACCAGAAGGAAGAAAATAATAAAGAGCAAAATTCACTGAAATAGAAAACAGAAAAACAACAGAGGAAATGTATAAAACAAAAACCTAATTCTTTTTAAAGATCAACAAAACAATAAGCTGACAAAGAAAAAAGTAAGCAATATTACAAAGAATAAAAGAGAAAAAATGCAAACTTCAAATATCAGGAATGAAATGGGTATCACTACAGATCCTGCAACCATTAAAAGGATAACAAGGAAATGCAACAAACAATTCTACACAGAAAAATTCAACAATTTGAAATAGACCCATTCCTTGAAAAACAAAAAATACCAAAATTCACTCAATATAAAATAGATAACCTGAATAATACTATATAACTGTTAAGGAAATTGAGTTCACAGTTTAAAATCTGTCAAAAATGAAATATCCAAGTTTCACTGGAGAATTATACCAAACATGTAAAGAACACCAATCTCTTCAGGAAACAGAAGAGAGAACACTCTCCAACTCATTTTATGAAGATAGTACTAAAACCAGACAATGACAGGACAAAAAAAAAAAAAAAGAAAACAGCACGTGAATATCTCTCATGAATTTAGATGCAAAAATTCTCAACAAAATATTAGTAAATAGAATTCAGCAATATATATAAAAAGAATGATAGGCCATGACCAAGTGGAGTTTATTTCAGGGATGCAAGGCTGGTTCAATACCTGAAAATCAATGTAATACATCAAATCAACAGCATTAAAAGAAAAAAAGATAAATCATGTGATCATATAAACTGATGCGGAAAAGAGCATTTCACATAATTAAACACCTATTCATGATTTAAAAAAAATTCTTCCATGGACCTTACCCATGGGAATGGATTAGGGAGAGAAACTTAACATTAAGCCATTCAAGGACCTCCTAGTTTCACCAGATATCAAGGCAGCACATAGTATTGGTTGTTAATTTTAGGTCTTATATCCCTTTGTCTATGTAGAGAATCCCAAGAAATCTAAAAAAGAACCCTTCCTAGAACCAGTATATGATTTCAGAAAGGTTGCAAGATACAAGATCAATACACAAAAATCAATTGTATTTCTGTGTATTAGCAACCAACAGATGGGTAATGAAATGAAAAACCCACCACCATTTACCATCACTCCAAAAAAATATAGAATATGTAATTATAAATCCAACAAGGATTGTTCAGAATTTTACAAAACATTATGATAGAAGTCAAGAAACAGCTACATAATGAAGAGACAGACCATATTCATGGATTGGGAAGACTCAACACAGTAAAAATGTTTATCCTCCCCCAAAAGCGACCTATAGGTTTAACACAATTCCTATCAAAATTCCAGCAAGATTTATATATATATATATATATATATGTATATATGTGTGTATATATGTATATATGTGTGTATATATGTATATATGTGTGTATATATGTATATATATGTGTATATATGTATATATGTGTGTATATATGTATATATGTGTATATGTATATGTGTGTATATATATGTTTATATATAGACAAGCAAAACTTACATGGAAATGCAAAGAATCTAGAAGAGTTAAAATAATTTTGATAAAGAATAATAAAGAGGAATCACTCTAAGACTTACTGTAAAGCTACAGTAATCAAGATAGTGTGACACAGTAGGACAAATAGATACATAGATCAATGGAACAAAATGAAGAATCTGAAAATAGACCCAAACAAATACCCTCAACTAATTTTTGACAAAGGAGCAAAAGTAATGTAATGGAGGATGAATGTCTTTTCAAGAAATGACGATGGTGCAATTGGACATCATAGGCA
Organism: Homo sapiens; assembly: GCF_000001405.40. Classification (NCBI taxonomy): domain Eukaryota; kingdom Metazoa; phylum Chordata; class Mammalia; order Primates; family Hominidae; genus Homo; species Homo sapiens. Next base: position 280,123 of record NW_025791797.1, on the reverse strand, counting down.
AAAGTGAGTCTTGACCTTAACCTCACACCATATAACGTAAGATGTGACCTTAACCTCACACTGTATGAACAAATTAATTCAAAATGGATCATTTACTTAAATATAAAATATAAAACTATAAAATATTTAGAAGAAAACATAGGAGAAAATCTTCAGGACTTAGGGTAGGCAAAGCATTCTTAGCCATGACACCAAAAACCATGATCTATAAGTGAAAAAATTTGATAAATAGAACTTCACCAAAATTTATAACTTTTCCTCTCCAAAAAAAAAAAAACATAAAAATAAAAAATAAAAACCTATAAGAGGGTAAAAGAATCAAGCTACATACTGGGAGAAAATATTTACAAACCACACATTTCATATTAAAGAAGCTAAAAGTCCGCAGTATACAACAACCTTACAAACAGAAAGCAGAGAAGAAGCCATGAATTCTAAATGCTGAATACAGATGAGGACTCCACTTGCACTTCTGGTGCCAACCCTAGTCTCATATTAGTTTCTCTTAAGATAGCTTTCTTTCTTGACCTTATCAGGGATTGTCAGTCAATGGATTCATTAATTGCACCTCAGAATTATGTGCTAATCCTATGTTACAAAACAGAGCTCTGAGGTCAGTGAGTACTTCCACATGACAGCTTAAAAAAGATGCCTATGTCCTGCGTGCCATGTGTCTTTTGAAGGACAAACTTCCCTTGGTTATTCCTAGAGTGGAAAAAAAACTGTTAACATCTAGGACACTACCCCAGGGCTGGCCAATGAAGCATCTTGGGAGCCAAGGCTTACTCAATGCACTCTGTGTCCTGGGAAGGGCATGAGAGAGGGTCAGCAGACAGCATAGAAAAAAAACCCAGCAATGATGCCAACAGACTGAGACACCACCTTGGCCTGTCACACTCTAGGGACTCACCAATGCTCTACTGGGGAAAAACTGAGGATAGCAATCAGTACATTATCTATCTTGCTCTGTGTCGTACAATTATGTATGTGTGCCTGTCTATTCGTTTATCAATTAACACTATAATAAACAGTGGCTAGTTCATTCCATGGTGTAGGCTGGGTTTCTCTCCCTCTCCCCAAAAGCTCTGTTATCTTTTAAAGTGTCTGGTTGCTAAGCGCACTGCTAAAGACCCACCAGACATCAGCCAGGTGCATAGAAGGCACCACCTAGGTGAACAGCCCTCTCACAAACAGGGCCTGAACAGCGCCTGCCAGATCATGGCCGCCTGCCACTCCATGCATTCCTTCTTTGCTCCATGCACCAAAATGCTTTCCTGGCTCTGACAATGGAAGCTGCTAATGCATCCCAGAAAGGATTTACAGAGGGTGCAGCATAAGTGCTCCACCTCTGGAGCTGTGAACAATGATGCCTGCCACATGCTGGACCTCCCAGGGACGGGAAGGAGAGCTCCAAGGTCAGCTCAAAGCCACCGGTCTACCTCCAAGATGCAAACCCACAAAGCCTGTCCTAAGAAGTAAGGCCACTGCTCAGGCCCCCAGCAAAGGCCTGACTGGGCTCTGGGAAGGTCTGTTTCCCTTGGAGAGTCATGGCACAAGGAAGCAACGTTGCAAATGTCCCACCTATCCCTGTTCTTTGGAAACGAGGCTCTGCATTCTAAGTGTGAAGTGTTTGCTTTGAAAGGAATTTGGGTTGAACAGTAAAGGGTGTTGGACTTGTTTCATCTGCCCATCCCACACCTCTTTTCTCTTCTCTCTCAACTGGAGGAATAATGATTACAAATGACTGCCAACAAATGGGCAACTTTCCTCCAGAAGGGCAGGCATGTCCCTCACATTCAGGCTGGCTTCTTTCTGCTACGATCTACAATCTGCACACCCAGCAAATGGGCAGTCATCCCTCAGCTTCACGGAGAATACCCATCCAGGCAGGAAGAGCCTCTTCACAGGCCCTGCCTTCACCTTAGCAAAAGATGTCAATAGTGCTTTCTCCTTTCCAAACACACTTTGAGTCCTATCTTCCAGACCCCCTGGAGCACCAGCAAGCTTTGCTTATGATTTACACCCCTGCTTCACTGACACCTTATTTTTGCATTCTAACATATATGGGTCACTCTTTTCACAAACTATAGACTCAGAGTATCCATTTTATAACATAGCTTAAAATGTACTCCTAAATGAGCTATACCAACCCTCAGAATTCTCTACTCTGATTCCCAGGGTGGTCACTTCTATTTGGATTTAAGGGTGACAGGGTTTAAAATGCCCAGGATTCTATGGAGTTAACATTTTATTAGTGACATCAAATGCGAGTGAGTATAGGTCGCAAGACACTCTCCCAGGCTACTAATGGTACAACTTAGTAATAAAGAGAAATGCTTGTTGCACAAAGGCGTTAAATATCCTTTATTGATAATATTGTAAAAACTAAAAAGCAACCCAGAGGCAAAATCAGCAAATTGGAAAGCAGAATTTAATCTTACCCAACAGCTAGGCCCATTATTCCTCTTAAGGAGAGAAGTATCTTTGCTTACAAAAACAGCTAGGCAAGCATTTGTTGGCAGAGCTCCTAAGGACACAGATCAATAGGAGACAAGAAAACAAAAGAGTTAGATTGCTCCCCACTAGAGCTAAAGGGGAATTAGTATGGGAGTGCAAAAGCAGAGGGAGAGAACTAGTAAAGAAGAGTCGGGGACAGCAGAACAATATTCTTCAATGCAGAGAATATAATTTATTGTCAAATAGCTGTGAAAATTTACAAAATGTCCAACTATCAAATATCCTTGGGATACACATAAAATTGAGCACCTTACAACATTTCAAAAAATGAGACTAAATAAAACCCACATTCTCTGAAGAGAGAATAAATCAAAATATCACTGCAAAATAACTTGAAAATATTTTAAAATAGTATAAAATATTTGCCTTTGCTGTCCAGAAGGCTTCTAGGAAAATACAAATTATCTTTTTGTATTTTATATTGATCAAATTGGATTAAAGAATCTGGAGAAATCCCGAACACACCAACAATTGTATAAAAAGTAAAGAGGACGTCAAAGAAGGGCTGCCCCCAAAAAGTTCTGTGCCCTCTTTATTTTATTGGCAAGTTCTTTCCAACCTTCAAGAAACAGGTTATTTCTGTGCAATTTAAACAGACCCAGGAAATGAAAATTATGAAAAGTACCCAATGCATTTTATGAGGTTACTGAAAATCTTGATATAAAAACCTGAAAAATATAGTACAAACCAACATCTCTTATGAATACAGATGTAGTAATTTTCAATAAAATATTTGCAAACCAAATCCAGCTGAATATTAAAAAAAACAATATATCATGGCCAAGTACAGTTAATGCCAGGAACACAAGGATGATTCAATATTCAGAAACCTATTACTATGTTTCCTCATGTTACTAGGTCAAAGGAGTGAAAGAATATGAACATCTAGATAGCTCTGAAGAACGCTAATTACTAAGCATGCTGGAAATTATAGTTGTATCTGCACACCATTGGCAATAGTTGGTTTAGCCCAGGAGATACCATCCCAGGAGAGCAGAGTTACAATAGACATCAGTTGACCAGAATCAGGCAGTTGTGCTAAGTGTCTCAGTTACCAGATACCAACCTCAATACACACACAGGTAGACAGAGAATGGGGTCTATTAACCAGAGCAGTATTTTTTCACACTGTGAATACATTCCATTAGTGGGTTATAAAATGAATTGATTAGGTCTTAGCCATTTTTTCATGGAATCAATTGGAATAGAATGAAATGAAATAGAATGGAAAAGAAAAACAAATAGGATTAAGTATTGTTTCCCAAAACTTTTGTTTAAGTATTATGAAAAACATACGTGTGCATATGTGTGTGTGTGTGTGGTCATAATATAAAATGCATTTCTTCCTGTGAGTCACAGTCAAAAAATTTAAATAACACCACTGACTTAGGGGATTAAGAGGAATTATTTTCTGGATTTCTACTGCTACAGACTTTGGTCTAGGGTTAGAGTTAGGATTATGAGTGAGATAGTAAATAAAGAATCAAAGCTTCTTCCTATAATTTATGAACATCTTTCTTTTTCTGTTCTTTTTTTTTTTTTTTTTTTTTTTTTGGAGACAGAGTCTCTCACTGTCACCCAGGCTGGAGTGCAGTGGCGCAATCTCAGCTCACTGCAACCTCTGCCTCCCAGGTTCAAATAATTCTCCTGCCTCAGCCTCCCAAGTAGCTGGGACTACAGGCGTGCACCACCAAGCTTGGCTAATTTTTGTATTTTTAGTAGAGATGAGATTTCACCATGTTGGCCAGGCTGGTCTCGAACTCCCAACCTCAGGTGATCTGCCCGCCTTGGCCTCCCAAAGTGCTGGGATTACAAGCGTGAGCCACCATGCTCAGCCCCTATGTTGTATAAACAACTATTTCATGAAGTAAGGCTGTGGCAGATCAGGGAGACCTGATTTGTGTCAACTCCTCCCAAAGTCATAATTTCATTTATGAGGGTTGTGAGAGTATAGTGATTAAAGCATGCTCTCTGGAACTAGGCTGCCTTAAAGAAAAGCCTGCCACAACAGTAGAGTAGATTATTTTTCAAAAATACTCACTCCTGGCCGGGCGCGGTGGCTCACACCTGTAATCCCAGCACTTTGGGAGGCCGAGGCGGACAGATCACGACGTCAGGAGATTGAGACCATCCTGGCTAACAGGGTGAAACCCCGTCTCTACTAAAAATACAAAAAAATTAGCCGGGCGTGGTGGCGGGCACCTGTAGTCCCAGCTACTCAGGAGGCTGAGGCAGGAGAATGGAGTGAACCCAGGAGGCAGAGCTTGCAGCGAGCCGAGATCACGCCACAGCACTCCAGCCTGGGAGACAGAGCAAGACTCTGTCTCAAAAAAAAAAAAAAAAAAAAAAAAAAAAAAAACCTCACTCCCGGCCAGGTGCAGTGGCTCACGCCTGTGATCTCAGTACTTTGGGAGGCCGATGCGGGCAGATCACAAGGTCAGGAGTTCCAGACCAGCCTGGCCAATATGGTGAAACCCCGTCTCTACTAAAAATACAAAAATTAGCCGCGCGTGGTGGTGCACAACTGTAATCCCAGCTACTGGGGTGGCTAAGGCAGGAGAATCGCTTGAACCCAGGAGGCGGAGGTTGCAGTGAGCCAAGACTGCGCCACTGCACTCCAGGCTGGGCAGCCGAGTGAGACTCCGTCTAAAAAAAATAAATAAATACTCACTCCTCCAACACACAGAGATACAGAAAATCTCCATGGGTGGAGCACACTCCCCTGCCCTAATAACATCGGACAAGGCTGTATAATTTGCTCTGCCCTCTGGCCTCATAGTAGGTAAGGATGTTTCCCTATTCCCTGACTTTGGCTTCAGCTGTGTGAGCTGCTTTGGCCAGTGGGATGTTAGCAGAAATGACATAAGCAGAAGCTTAAAAGACTCATGTGCATTTGGGTTTTTTGTATCTCTATCATTACCAAGAAAAAAAATATGTTCTGGTTAGTCTCTTGGTCCAAGGAGGATGGGAGACACACAGAGCAGAGCCCCATTAAGAAGAGAATACCCATCAGAACAGAATGTTCACAAGATTGATGCACACAAATTTTTAAAAATAGCAAGAAACAGAACCAAAATGTAGTCAAAGAACATGTATTACTAAATAAATTACTCAAAAAAAAGTCAAAAATACATTATGGACAACTTGATCTCCCTTTTTAAAAGCTCAGGTAGAAATATGAGTTTAAAGGAAACATTTCAAGACAACAGAAAAAGTGAGCTTAGGAAAAGAATAGCAAAAATAAAAATGAAAACATTACATATTTGATGACCCCATTTTTTAAAGTTACTGAAACACAAACACACATACACACAGAAATAAAAAATAATTTACATAAAAATTGTTTATATCATGTCCTGATATGACACTTCAGAATAAGGAAGAAATCATGTAGGTATAGTGTCAAAGTGAGAAAAAAAAAAGAGAAAATATCAGATTGACCACAGACTTCTCTTCAGTAATACTCAATACCAAAAAAACAGAATCAATATTTACAATGACCTGAAAAAAAAGAGTGAGAAAAGTTTTCCTTAATTATATTGTTGAATATTTTCTGTTCTCTTTTTCAAAAATATTAACTATGCATATGTTGGGCCTCCTTTGTCATCATTTTTCTATCACCATTTGTATATTTTTGTTTTTTACATTTCATCTTGTTGGGTGTATATTTTGTCTAGCATGTTCCCAATTGCTTATTCCATGGCACTTATTTTTGTTGTTTCAAGCTGAAGAGCAGCATAAAGAGGACATGGGGTACGAGACAGAAAATGAATAGAGTAGTCCCTAACTTCCACTATGCTTTGGTGTTTGGTTAATCCTATCACTAAATATGTTATTTTCTTTTCTCTGGAGTCCTATCTTCTCTTCATTTTCAGCATTCAAAAGTCATCAGGGATCTCAAGAGAGCCCCTAACCTACAGTCTCTTTGTTATGGAAAGGGTTGCTCTTCCACCCACCCACCCCTTCATCCCATTTCATCTGCACCAATCTCCCTCTGTAGGAGGCTGTTTTGTACAAATGGACAATCCAATTTTTGGTCAATAAGGGTTCCCTTTCAATTCTATGTACCATGTCATTTTTGGTGTCAAACTAGGCCTTTTTGGGGACAATACCTGCTTTTTCCAAGACCCACTCAGGGCCACCAATTTCACTGTTCTTTAAAAAGTTTATTACATAGGACATCCTTACAGAAATCTCTGTCCTGCTCAGAATCCAAGGAAACACATGTCAGTCTTCAGGATCCTCCCTCCCCTACATCCAAACTTCACAGTACTCAAAAAAAAAAAAAAAAAAAACCTTCATAATTTGTGTTTGGAAGCTGGCACCATTTCCTTGCTTCATTAGAGATAAACTGTTCTTTTTGTTGTTGTTTGTTTTACAAAGTTTTGAGAGAAGGAACTTTTGTTACTCCTCCATTATACCATATGCCATTTAAGACAAGAGAACTTTTTGTTCCTGGAATGTGACCAAAAACTTAAAGACCTGGACTAGTCAAAACTGTAATAATGAAGGGAGGTCTTGCCTTAGTGGATACCAACACATTACAAAGGTACAATAACTTTAAAAGTATGCATCAGCACAAGAAAAGACGGAAAGATTAACCGACAACATATATTCTAAAATAAAGATTTAAATATTTAAAAAGAAATATAAGACTAGGTGATAATATAGATATCCATATATTTTCTCCCAACATGAAGTTACTTCTAAGCATGACAAAAGTAGAGAGTTAAAAAATTAAGAGCCTCCTAGACTACTTAAAATTTTTTAATGGCAGTATATCCAAAACATAAACAAAAATAAAATGTAAATGACAAAATGGGAAAATTATTTGCAACATAAGATAAAAAATTAATACTCTTTGTATATGAGGAGTACTTACAAATTAATAAGATTCTCATAGAAAAATGGGGCATACATATGAAGATGAAAATTTATTTTTCTATTTCTTTTCTTTTTTTTTTTTTCTTGAGACAGGGTCTTGCTCTGTCACCCAGGCTGGAGTGCAGTGGCACAATCAGAGCTCACTGCAGCCTCAACCTCCCAAATTCAAGTGATCCTCTTGCTTCAGCCTTTCAAGTAGCTGGCACCACAGGCACACACACCACCACGCCCAGATAATTTATCTTTATCTGTTGTAGGGATGGGGGTCTCCCTATATTGTGCAGACTGGTCTTGAACTCCTGCAGTCAAGCAACCCTTCCACCTCAGCCTCCTAAAGTGCTGGGAGTACAGGTGTGGCCATTGTGCCCAGTCCTGTTATTCCATTTCTAATGCCTTAAGGAGACAACACACAAAAAAGAAGTAATACAAATGGCCCAAAGTATTTTTAATAACCTCTTACTAATAAAATTTCCTTAATCTTATAGTGGCAACTATTGCAAGGTAAGCATAGACATCAATGGAATTTTCTAAAAGACAATCTGTAGTATATATTAAAGGTCTTAAAATTTCACAAACTTCTTGACCCAAAAATTATGTGTCTTAACAAACATTTCTTTGAATACATTTCAACACTCAGTAGTGAAGAATTGGTCAATAAAGCATGACACATCCAAATGATGTAACAGCAGGAATACATTTAATATCATTATAGGAAAATATTTAATGACATGTAGAAAATACTCCTCATAATATTAAATTTTTTAAATAGTTATCAAAATGGAGTATAGTCACTGTTTAAAAGATACATATTTGTTAATATTCTAAGAAGAATATCAGAAATCTATACAACAAAATCCTAACAATTAGTATAATTAAAGGTGATGCTTATTTTCATCATTGTCCCTTCCTGTGTTTTCTACATTTTTATAATGAATATGTGCTGTTTTTAAATTTTAAAAAAAGGCAATTTCAAAAGAGAGTAAAGAGAATTTAGAGTCCTTTAATACTTTAAATATTCTTTTATTAGTAAAATAGTTACTCTTCTTTGTTTTTAAATTATTTTCAAAATAAAATACCGTTTATTTGTAAATGAAGGCTTGGACAATAAAAGCATTTCTGAGTATTTGACCACAATAATTTATAGCATACGTTGGCCGGAGCTGTTCAGTGCTGACAAATTCCAGAAAGTAATTCCATGAAATACTTGGAGAGGAAACTGCTTTATGCTTCCATGTTATTTATGGAAATTAGCATCTTTGTAAAAATAAACTGAAAGCAATCACAATCATAAACCTTGAAATGTGGTTTCCATAAGATGTTAGCTTTGGTGCTTTAAGATACATTAGTAATGCAATGGAGGAACACTGCCTAAGTTTTTTCTGTTATGAAACAATTACATGTAATTGGTTTTTTCCTCTTCTATCTTCAATCTCTCCCTTTCTCCTGGCTGCTTTCCTTTTAGAGTATGAATATACGGAATACACTCTGCTAAGGAAAACCTCTCTAATGATCCTGTTTCTCTCTCAAAGAGTAGTATATCCTTCCTTTATTCAGTGCCTCACCTTCCCCCGAAGGTGAGACTCCATGTAGTCCCCCAAACTACTCCTTCAAATGTAACCAATTATTTCCCAAGATCAGGGTGAATTTCCACCCTCACGTGTCCCTAACACTTGTTTGGAACCTGAAGGAATTTTGATTCCTCCCTCTCTCTCTCAAGCCCATGTAATCACTTACCAAGTTCCACTCCTTCAGGTTCTAACATCATCCCCACGTTCATATCCTCTTGTCCACAGCTAACTCTCCACCCAGTTTGCTCTTGAAAACTGAGTTTAAGGTCTCATCATTGCCCGCCTAGAAGAGGTCTCCCAATTATGTTTTGCTGAAGTGTGTCCCCATGGTCCAATGGTGTCGCAACGGTGCCTCCACCACCTCCTGATCAGCAACCACAGAACTCCATGTTACTAACTGAGTAAAATCCTTTACATGCTCTTCAAGGTCGTCCCCAGGGTAGCCACAAACTGCCTGGGCTTAAGCGACCCTCCCACCTCAGCCTCCCAAGTAGCTGGGACTACAAGCACAGCTATCATAACCAGCTAATTTTTTACATTTTTGGTAGGGATGAGGTCTTGCTATGTTTTCCAACCTGATCTCAAGCTTCTGGCCTCAACTAATCCTCCTGCCTTGGTCTCCCAAGGTGCTCGGATCACAGGCATGAGCCACTGTGCCCAAACACAGACTATCTTTGTTCATCATTATCTCATACTCCACGCTGCCATGTCCCTAGTCTTCAAACACAGCATCAATGGAAACTGAGAGGAGGAAACATTTAAAAGACATTTCTGAGATGGGAAAAATGGGAGTTAGTGGCTGAATGGGTACAGGGCAGGTACAGGAATAAAGAAGGCATCTACAGTGATGCCAGGATCTGGCTCAAATGGCTGGGTGATGGAGAATCTAGGCACAGCAAGAGAGCGCAGTGAGAGGTAAGGACTTTGGTTTGAGAAGCATTTGTGCTTGACACCACCAAGGAACATTCTGGTGCATGGTAGCTCATGCATATATTGGTCTGCAGCTCATTGAAGAGGCAAACAGAAGCCCCTCTGAGGTGCTGAGCCTCTTCCACTTTGGAGGGAACCTTGAGTTAAAAAAAAAAACGAAAAGAAAAGAAAAAGAAAGAAACAAGAAAAGCCAAAACAGAGTTATGAAGATTGTGTTTATTTTTAATGTTTACATTTAACAGTTAATGTAAAATAATGGACAACTTTTTATCTTTTCGGTATATATAATGCTATTTGAAGAAAACCTCAAAAGTTTACATTTGAGAGACGACATCGTCATGAGACCTGGGTCTCCACCTGATAACCCCCAGGCAGGAGCCTCTGGAGAGATGGAGGCTGCCTGGGAGAGCATGTGGAGGGACAGACGGGAGGGCAAAGGCAGAGCTCTGGAATTGAGGAGCATTTTTTAAAAGCCAGAGAGGAGCCAAAGAAGGAGAGTGAGATGGAAAGGTCAGAGAGGTAGAAAGAGAAAAAGGAGTGCCGGGATCACAGGCAACACACAAGGAGAGAGCTCCCATTCATTCTCCCACCAGATTCTCACTGGATCTAGCCAATAACTCTGTATTGCAGATTTTCAGGGCAACTTGGCAATAAAGCGGTGTCTGCATCCAAGACGACCCAAGATCTTCCTGCTCAGACTCCATCACCAGTGTCAACACAGACTGGAATATTGATCCAAAATCACTTGGGGGACAAGGTCATGGGAAGTACATTTATGACATAAAACCCGGAGTGCTGGAAAAGCTCTACACAGAACTGAAACAGGGTGAAAGGAGGAAGGCCACAATGTGTATCAAGTGTGTAGCAAAGCACAGTACACTAAGAAAGGATTATTCTAAGGAAATACTCAAGTAAGCAAAGATGTGAGCATGAGATGTTCATTTCAGGTGTCTGATGGTAAACACGAGTGAACAAACCATCCAGGAAGCAACCCAAATATTCAATAAGGAAATAATGGGTTTAAATAACACATAATGCCACTTATGCCATTATGGTATAACCATAACTACAATGGAACACAGCCATTAGAAATGAAAATAAAGAAAACGAGAAATACTCATAGAGATTGGGGGCGGCTGCAAGGAGAGAATGTCCGTCCACTCTACAGATGAACATCTGCTTAGACCGTGGGTCTGCTGATCTCTCCCTGGATCTATCAGAACAAGGAAAGGAGAACTGAAGGGAGTTGGCAGGACAGAGAGAGGAGGCAGCATTGAAGCATTCCGTCTTCTCACTGTCTGGCACAGTAAGAAGCATGCATTTCCTATGGGTCAGGTAGACTACACCAAAGGGAGCTGGGTTTGAACTCTCCAGCCTACACTCCATCCAATAAGGCTGCCTGCTAGGTGAGAAGACCCCGGCAGCAAGTGGCAAGCTGAAGCTGGACTACCTGCTGCAGGAAGTGTCCTGTGGAGCCCTCCAAAGAACTCACATCTGCTACCCAGAGGGCAGAGGGTTGAGGGAGAGCTGGAGTGGCAGTGACAACTACCAGAGAGAGGTATCCAGTTGAGTAAAGAGCTGATAGCCCTTATCCCCTTCCCCTTTCCTTGTTTCCTACCCTTGGAAAGCTAGATCCAGAAGAAATAAAAGGAAGAAGTATCTCAGAACCAGTGCCCACCACACCCGTACCATTCCATGGTAGAGGGAAAAGAGCCCTGTGCAACTTCAGGTACCTGAAGCCATGTGTCAAGCCCAGACTAGAGGAAAGGGAGATGAGATTTAAATCAAGTTGAGAATCAAAACTTTAAATGAACTGAACTTTTTTTTTTTCTTTCTTTCTTTTTTTTCTTTTTTTTTTTTATTATACTTTAAGTTTTAGGGTACATGTGCACATTGTGCAGGTTAGTTACATACGTATACATGTGCCATGCTGGTGCGCTGAACCCACTAACTCGTCATCTAGCATTAGGTATATCTCCCAATGCTATCCCCCCCTCCCCCCACCCCACCACAGTCCCCAGAGTGTGATATTCCCCTTCCTGTGTCCATGTGATCTCACTGTTCAATTCCCACCTATGAGTGAGAATATGCGGTGTTTGGTTTTTTGTTCTTGCGATAGTTTACTGAGAATGATGATTTCCAATTTCATCCATGTCCCTACAAAGGACATGAACTCATCATTTTTTATGGCTGCATAGTATTCCATGGTGTATATGTGCCACATTTTCTTAATCCAGTCTATCACTGTTGGACATTTGGGTTGGTTCCAAGTCTTTGCTATTGTGAATAATGCCGCAATAAACATACGTGTGCATGTGTCTTTATAGCAGCATGATTTATAGTCATTTGGGTGTATACCCAGTAATGGGATGGCTGGGTCAAATGGTATTTCTAGTTCTAGATCCCTGAGGAATCGCCACACTGACTTCCACAATGGTTGAACTAGTTTACAGTCCCACCAACAGTGTAAAAGTGTTCCTATTTCTCCACATCCTCTCCAGCACATGTTGTTTCCTGACTTTTTAATGATTGCCATTCTAACTGGTGTGAGGTGGTATCTCATAGTGGTTTTGATTTGCATTTCTCTGATGGCCAGTGATGATGAGCATTTTTTCATGTGTTTTTTGGCTGCATAAATGTCTTCTTTTGAGAAGTTTCTGTTCATGTCCTTTGCCCACTTTTTGATGGGGTTGTTTGTTTTTTTCTCGTAAATTTGTTTGAGTTCATTGTAGATTCTGGATATTAGCCCTTTGTCAGATGAGTAGCTGATAAGCAACTTCAGCAAAGTCTCAGGATACAAAATCAATGTACAAAAATCACAAGCATTCTTATACACCAACAAAAGACAAACAGAGAGCCAAATCATGAGTGAACTCCCGTTCACAATTGCTTCAAAGAGAATAAAATACCTAGGAATCCAACTTACAAGGGATGTGAAGGACCTCTTCAAGGAGAACTACAAACCTCTGCTCAAGGAAATAAAAGAGGATACAAACAAATGGAAGAACATTCCATGCTCATGGGTAGGAAGAATCAATATTGTGAAAATGGCCATACTGCCCAAGGTAATTTACAGATTCAATGCCATCCCCATCAAGCTACCAATGCCTTTCTTCACAGAATTGGAAAAAACTACTTTAAAGTTCATATGGAACCAAAAAAGAGCCCGCATCGCCAAGTCAATCCTAAGCCAAAAGAACAAAGCTGGAGGCATCACGCTATGTGACTTCAAACTATACTACAAGGCTACAGTAACCAAAACAGCATGGTACTGGTACCAAAACAGAGATATAGATCAATGGAACAGAACAGAGCCCTCAGAAATAACGCCACATATCTACAACTATCTGATCTTTGACAAACCTGAGAAAAACAAGCAATGGGGAAAGGATTCCCTATTTAATAAATGGTGCTGGGAAAACTGGCTAGCCATATGTAGAAAGCTGAAACTGGATCCCTTCCTTACACCTTATACAAAAATCAATTCAAGATGGATTAAAGATTTAAACGTTAGACCTAAAACCATAAAAACCCTAGAAGAAAACCTAGGCATTACCATTCAGGACATAGGCATGGGCAAGGACTTCATGTCCAAAACACCAAAAGCAATGGCAACAAAAGACAAAATTGACAAATGGGATCTAATTAAACTAAAGAGCTTCTGCACGGCAAAAGAAACTACCATCAGAGGGAACAGGCAACCTACAAAATGGGAGAAAATTTTTGGAACTGAACTTTTAATAACCAAAACTGGATCTTCCTAAGATTCCATTAGGGGATGGGAAAAGGCGATTTCACAAGGCATGGCTGGACCAGTGATTGGCTCCATATTTATACCTTACTGAAATGAGACTTCTCAATAAATCTGTGTCTTTCAGAGGCCCCAACTCTCCCAGATCACCCAGCATGGGGCAACACTCAGACACAAGGTTATGACTTGTCGAGGGGCCAAACCCAACCAAATCTAGGCTGACCTAAAAGGAATTATGTGCCATGTCAGAGTCAGGGCTACCTTGAGCTGATTTACCCACAGAGAAAGTTCCCTGAACCCTGACCCAGGACTACCTTCCTTAGGATTCCATCCTCACTGCCCATGATTGACATGATCAAGGGTGATAGCAATAGCAGGGGTAACTGGGGGAACTTGGATGGTGAAATTGCTATGGAGTGTGAGATTGCTGTAGAAGGTGAATAAGAGGCCTGGACTAAGCCACCAATACTCAAATGGCACTTCTTTTGTCCTCATGTCAATTATGTGACTTTGCCAGCCTCTCTCAGCCCCTATGATTGCACCTGGGTTACCGGAGGTGGAGAGAGGATGCCTGTGTTGGTGGCAGCAAAGAGGTCAAGATTCAAAGCCCACCCCTGACATCCTGTATTAGTTTCCTCTTGGTGCTGTAACAAATTACCACAAATTTAGGTCTTAAAACAACATAAGTTTATTCTTTTACAGTTCTGAAGGTCAGAAATCTGAAATGCATTTTTACAGGACTAAAATCAAGGTGTCACTACAGCCAGTTACATCTGAAGACTTGAGCAGAAAATCCATTTCTTATCTCTTCCAACTTCTAGAGGTTGCTGGCATGCGTTAGCTCCTGGCTACATTCTCCCAGTCTCTGGCTTCCATGGTAGCATCTTCTACTACCTCTGCCTCTGACTCTCCTGTGGCTCTCTTATAAGGACTGTTGTGATTGCATAATCCAGGATAGTCTCCCCAATTCAATATTCTTAATCACATCTGCCAAGTCCTTTTTGCCATATAAGGGAATATTTATGAGTTCCAGGGATTAGGACATGGACATATCTGGGGGTCATTAGGCAACCTACCACATATCCCAAGGACATCCACACTGTCAGCCTGGGAGCTCCACCAAATATTATGATGAAGGCAACAGGAGCTCAAAGGGCATCTACCCGAGGCCACCTGGCCTTCCATTCCCACCCTACCTCAAAGCCCTCTGTAAGATCAGCCTTCTACACTAGCCTCCAGCCTCAGGATCAGAAAAAAGAAGTTAAATAATTCTGTCCTATACTTATGCACCAACAAGACCCAGGGGACAGGATCGGAGCCAACCCAGATATTGCTTATTTTACAAGCTGTGTTTTGAAATTTTCAAAATCTTCCCTGCAGAGGAGGTCACCACAGACTTATAAGACCTCCCAGGACTTCTTCATCCAAATGTCTCCTGCCTTTCAAAACTGTGGCCTCGAGGGATCTGTTCCAGTAGATATCTATGAACTTGGCAGTGGAGACAGTCAAAGATCAAGTCATTCTTCTGAAAAGGCTATTCCATCCAGAGTCACAGGAAATGGGAGAGGACAGAATTTGCCAGAGAATCTAAACAGTACAGCACCTCCCGAGGGGCAAACACGGTGGAGGGCCATTCAGATATACACGAAGCCATCTTGACATGGTTGTTTAAAGAGATAATCGCAAGCCACATGACCAATGTTAAAACAGTTTCTAAAGGCACTTGGCCAGAGAGCTAGGAAGCCATCCTATGACAATTAAATTAGTGAACAGATAAGGCTGTTTATTCTTCTCATGGGCAAGAGAAAAAAAAGGGGGGGCACGTTGTAATTCAGGGCACAGTCAACACAGGACTCATCTTCAAGGTGTTCAGGATAAAGTTTGGAAAGCTCTCAAATACTCCAGGCTAGATAAAGTTTGGAAAGCTCTCAAATACTCCAGGCTGGATAAAGTTTGAAAAGCTTTCAAATACTCCAGGCTGGAAGAGAGAGTAGGAACAGCAGCTGCTGTCTTCTCTGGGAAAATCAGATCCCTAAGGAGAAGCCTGGAGCAACAGGAAGCTTCCAGGGCCTGTGAGACAGGAAGAGGGGAGGCCGCTCCAGCTGCCTGGATGAGGGGAACAGTGAGCTCCTCGAGGAATGGTCAAGAACGAGTTACAAAAACAAGGAACTACCAGCCTCTTACCTTGTTCTACAATCTCTCACAATTATTTGTGGGCAGTGAATATAAGAGTTTACATTTTAGCTGATTCAATAAAGAAAATATATTTGTGGACGGGCGCAGTGGCTCACATCTGTAATCCCAGCACTTTAGGAGGCCGAGGTGGGCAGATCACTTGAGGTCAGGAGTTCGAGACCAGCCTGGCCAACATGGCAAAACCTCATCTCTACCGATAATACAAAAATTAGCTGGATGTGGTAGTGTGCGCCTGTAGTCCCAGCTACTCAGAGGCTGAGACACGAGAATTGCTTGAACCCAGCAAGCAGAGGTTGCAGTGAGCTGAGATCATGCCACTGCATTCTAGCCTGAGCAACAGTGTGAAACCATGTCTCAAAAGAAAAGAAAAGAAAGGAAACTCTATTTGTTATTAATTAGTTGGCACATCCCTTGCTCCTCACAGCTCAGCCTCACACATCTAGCAGTTTTCTAACAACCACCTTGGTGGCAGCACATACGAAGCAAGGGTAGACGCCAGGGAACACCTTAAGCCCCACCCAAACACCAAAATCACAAGATACTTCAGAAAGGGCGGCCTTGAGTCAAACCCAGGCTGACCCTACGGAAAAAACAGAGCATCCAACCCACGGACAGGGACACAGGGCTGACCTACCACCCTTCATTAGAACCTTTTCTCAGGGCCTCTGGTGAGACAGACCTAGCCATGCCCACCCACACTCCCTGAAGATCAGGCCCTCCACAGCTGATACCTCTTGAGTGCCCCCTACAGGCTCTACACCAGAAAATACAGGCACTGCGCTTGCTTCAAGCTTCTAATGCTGACAAGCAGCAGCAACAGCAGAATGCTGACATTTATTGTACACTTACTATGTGCCAGACATTGTTTGGTTTGGTTTTTCACTTTTTTCCACTTCACAATGGATTAACTCTTCCAAACAATTCTGAGGTCTATACTAATATTATCTCCTCTGTATAGATGTGAAAACTGAGATGCGATGCAGAGACGTTTGCGTGACACAGTAATGAAGTGGTAGAGCTGGGATCCGAACAGTGAGTGGCGTGAATGATGAAGACTGCTGGTCTGAAATCTCCTTTTATGACCTTCTATGCACACTGCCTGGATACATGGAAACAGCACTGCCACAGGCACACAGATATGGAAAAATCCAAAAGAGGTCAGTGAGTGATTCAAGCTGGGCAAACACTGCCCTTGGCCAAAGGTCAACAGACTGCCTCAAAGCATATTTAAATTTTATAAGGTGAAAGAAGGCAAAATGAACACTGTGCCTTGAAGCCTCAGCCCCATTTGACCAGGAACAAATCTCTGAAGCTCTCAAAGCCTGTTTCAGATCCGCTGATGAGACAGAAACGTAAGTCTCCACGCTTTTACCTCAACAGTCATCTCGCTGGCCAGAGAACCCTAACATCATCCTGAAAAGACTTAACTTTTGTTCTAACAAAAGAGCTCTATTAATATGATTATGGGATAGTATCGATAAAATGGGATAGTGGGGAGAAGATGTACCTTGCTGACCAGTTCTTTGTGCATCACAGAATTCACAGGGCATTGGAGCCAAAAGAGGCTTTAGAGGCACTAAGTCCAAGAAAGTGAAACAAGAGGCAGAGGAGTCTGATTAATTTATCCCAGGGTATATATCTTCATTCATGGATGCATGTTTATTTAACAGACATTTAAGCCCTTAAGTGACAAGTCCCTTCCGAGACCCTGAGGGTACACAGGCCACCAAGCCATGTATTTGAGAAGCTATGTCTGCAGGGAGGGATTGCCTTGTTCTAATTCATAAGACACTGTATGGAGCTAGCAGCAGCCCTTGGGACACAATACTAAGATGTGCCCTGCCTTTAGATCTGGGGCTGCAAACTGCTTGGCTGAATCCAGGCTGCAAACACATTTATCTGCCTTTCAATACTTTAAAAACTGGGAAATTTTGTAAGAAGTCTAGATGATCCAGCTATCTTGAAAAATAAGATCTGGCAATCCTGGGCTTATGTCTCCACTTAGCAACGATCAGATGGAATTGAGTAGAGACTGCTCTTAATAGATGGAGCACGCGTTCTGCACTTTGCCACTGTCTCCGTTACTCTCTATTGTCTCTTAGGCAATGCTAGCCTCATTCCTTTGTTTGAGTCTGTCCTTTAGGCAAATAAAGATGCAATTCATGAGCCGGGTCCTCTCAAGTTGGTTGGAAAAGACAGCAGAAGTCTAAAGAGAGGACTGTGGGATAAAACAGTGGGATATGTGATGATAGATGTAAACTCAGAATATTTATTTAGCAGCTTAGCTAGGGCCAGAACCTGGCTCTGCCCATTGTTTCCTGGTCTCCAGCAACCCAGCCTCTGCTGGGCACATGCAGACAGCCATTCTAGTCTGAAATGACAGGGTCCATCACAGCCCCAGGTCATCACCGGTGTATGGTATCCACAGTGCTATTAAAGCCCTACTCAGGATTCAGAGAGGACCCAAGGGATCTGGATAATCCTTACAGCTAAGCCAACCAGAAATACCATTGGCTAGAGATAGGAAAGAAAGTCTGGTTCTCTGGTGTAGGATTAACACTAATCATGCCACATCTTAGGTGGTATACAATAATGCCTCTGAGTAAACAGAGGGATGTCCACCATTTCCCTTCCCCTCCCTATATGACCTTACCTGCGGGAGGGGAGAGTGCATGAAGACCATCCCTATCAGCACCCACCAGGGGCTCGTCCAGGAAGCCATGGGGTCTAGTCTCCTCCGGGTCTCAGTTGTAGCCTACAAACGAGGAAAGAGTTCATTACCAACCAGCTCTGGCCCCCATGGCAGTAAACCGTGACTTAAGCGACCCATTAGATGGAGGGACCCTGAAGCCCATATACTATTTTGGAAAGGTTTGTGTTGGCCCAGGTTGCCGCTGCCTACTGCAGGGTGCAGGCTAACTGGGCTCCCTTTAGAAGGTCCACAACAAAGTCAGGCGAGGGCTGGACCTGTCTCCAGTGGGCATCTCATACCTCCAGCTCTTCAGAAGCTGAGATATCCCTGCCCAAGCCTATCTGTCAGCAGCAGGGTGTCGCTATTGGCATTTGACTCAGGAAGCCAGCACAGAGCCAAGGTTTAGGCTAGCTTCTGCTGCTCGCGGCAAAAATGAGTCTAAGACAACAAAGCCGCCCAGAGAGGGAAAGGACCTGCCTAAGGTCACACAGCAAGATAGTGACATTTTAGGGCTGAAACGCAGATCTTCTGATAGTTCAAGGCTTTCCTCGCTAGATGACACCGTGCGCCCTCGAGGTCCGGGACCCACACCCAGAGAGACGCCTGAGAGCTAAGTTCAGGGAGGTTTGGAGGACACAGCCCCTGAGCCAGCCTAACACAATCTCCTAAAAGTAGGTGAGGGCCAGCCAGCAGAGGTCAGCTGAAACCAGGAGGGAAGCGGGGACTTTTTCCCTTACTTTTCCTGTCAATTTACAGGGAAATCAGTATGAGTCGAGACTGGAAAAGCCGAGGTCACACTCGACTCCCGCTTCGCCTCGCGGGCGCCTTGGCGGAGCTGGTGTCCGGGGGCGGGTCGGTGGCTTCTCTCCATCTGGAGAAGGCATTAAGGGCCTGGTCTAATGTGATCCGCAAATGTGCTGCTGTTTCCGACCTGAGGCGGCGACTCCTGGCTGAAGGGAGGCGGCCAGTGCGGGGCCCTGGGACTCTGCGCCACCCTCGCCTGCTCGCACCAGCCTTCCGAGTGCACACTCCTCCGACTACCCGCTGCCTCGAAGTCGCTCCTCCAGTGCCTCCGCCGCGTCCCGGTCACCCCCACGCCCACTTTCCACGATCGCGCGTCGCCTCAACCCCCGGCGTTCTGGGCGCTCGCTACCCAGTGGTCAACCGGCCGGACCTTCGGACCCGCGAGGTTTCTGCTTAGTAACTCCCAATCCTGAAAAACTCCAACCCTGTGGAGTTCCCCCATAATCAAGAACGCCCCTCAGCCCGCGAACTGCCGCCGAAAGACTCTCCCTGAACCTTCCGGGACGGCACGAAGCGCGCCCGACCCGAGGTGCCCAGCAGTGAGGAGCACCCCAGTCCTGAGGCCCCCTGGGGCCCGCGTGGCACGCCCCGACTCTGCTTGGAGACCCCCAACTTGCTTAGAGAGGCCACTGCTCCAAGTCTTACTCCCTCTGGGGAGCGCCTTCCCCCGACCCCTGAGGGGCCGCCCTGCGCCGAGCTCGGTGCACCCACCTTGCGCCGCAGAAGTATCTGGGACGTGCAGCCCCGGGGCCGCGCGGGCTCGGCGCGCGCTGGGGAGAAGTTGGCAGAAGCCGCCCGTCAACACCTCGTGCGGAATCCGGCACCAGGACCTTCCCCGACGCCGGCCTCCAGCCCGCGGCGCCGCAGTCGCCGCCGCCGCCGCGAAGTTAAATGGGGCTGGGACGGGGGCTGCCCCGCCTCTCCCGCCCCCTCCGGGCGCGCAGAGCGCTGCGCTGGCCCCGGCCCAGAGGCGGAGGGCGCGCGCCGCCACCTGCACCGCCCGGCAAGTGCACGGCGCGCCCAGGCGCCCGTCAGCCTGCGCGCCGGCACCGCGCCCTCGGCTTGAGCTGGAGGCGCCGGGGGCGCGAAGAGACGCCGTGTGGGGCCAGGCCCGGGCCGCTCGGAGCGCGCGGGGCCGCGGCGACGGCGGGACTCGGCTGGAACGCTCCTCCGCCCGCTTCCTGGAAGCCACTCCTCGCCCTGGGCCGGCCGCCAGGCGTTGTGCCAAGAGCCGGGATTGCCGACGCCGCCACCGCCGCCGCCGGCAGGCGCACTGGGGAAAGGCGGCCGCTGCGCCGCAAGCCAGCCTGGCCGCCCCGCCTCAGCCGGAGCCGGAGCAGGGATGCCGTCGCTCCCCCCGAGCCCACCCCCGGCCCCACCTCCCATAGCCTCCACCCACCCCGCCCAGACCCGGGCGCCAGCTCTGCAAAGTCAGGCCCAGCAGCCACACAGAGGTTTGCCCGGAACCGCTGGCTCGTGCCTAAGAGCCATAGGCACTCCTGGCCAGGCAGGACCATAGTGGAGACCAATGGCCCTCTCCTGGCCTGCGCCTCCTCCGCGCAGCATAGACGCCACACAAGGGACTGTGGAGCGCTCACTGCCCAGAGGCCTGGGACCTTTGGCAGCCAGGGACCACGAGGATCTTGCAGGAGCGCCTCTTAACTGGGTACCTGGCGCCTCCTTGTCTGAGCCGGGCTTGGGGAACTGAGAGCTCCACAGGTGCCAGAATCATGCCGTGTCCAGGCCTGGGATTTGGGGTTGGGGGGAAGAGTGTCGCGGACAAGAGACTGGGGTGAGTTGCCTGTGTACTTCTGGAGGTGAGGAGAAGTAAAAGGAAATGTTTGTCCCTGTCCTTGTCCTAGTCCCAGCAGGATAAGCCAAGGGCCAGGAGATTGATCTTAAAGGCTGCATTATGCCCCCACCTAAGTCCTACCACAGTCGCCATTTCCTTGGGTGTCTGTCGAGTACCAAGCTCTTTGTGTCTATCTGATCTTCACAGCAGCAGTAGTTCGAGCATTATCCCATTTCACCTAGGATAAATCTGAGGCTGGGAGGATAACTTGCCCACCATGAGTGGAGAAGCCAGGACTGGAACCCCTATCTGCCTCTCTCTAGAGCCTGGACTGTTCACCCCTAAAGTTGTTCTCCTGCCTTCTCTGTGGTTGCTGCGTTCCGGTTACTGCTAGAGCTTTGCCAAGAGCAATTGGCCCTGCCTGCTTTCCTCACTCATTCTTCCCTTACTTACTCTGGTGACTTCCTCTGACCAAGAAGAGGATCTTCAAGGCTGTCTCTCCACTCTATGTAAAATGATTGGACTTGTGGCAAGTGAGCAGAGGACAGGTCAGTGTGGAGACAGGAGAGGTAAGAGTAGCCAGTGAAGGGTAGGGAGGGCTGGGCTAAACTAGAACTAACTCATCTATGGACAATCGATCCTTTTTATTTACTGTAGTTGTGGTCTATAAAGTCACAGAACAACGAATTTGTGAATATGGAGCCATTGTTCCTAGGGGAAATATAGAGTTGGGTTCCTGCAAGCTCACAATATTTTTGTCAATCAATCAACACATTGCCTTATTTTATGCATGTTTCTGTTTAAAGACGCCTTACTTAACATCTATTGTTGATTCCTGAACACTGAGCTCACAGCCTACAGTGCTGTAACTCATGCCTGAATGAAGCTTATCTAACTTACGTATTTTCTCTGCAACACACATCCCAGCCTTCTTCCACTTAGGAACGCTAGACTTCACTTCAGCACTGTGCCTGGGGGGTGCTTTAAGCAGCAAAATCATCAAAAAAAAGACCAAAAAAATGTGAAAACATGGCAATGAAGAGAACTTTTGGGCCACTCATTTACAGTGTGAAAGCTGAAACAAGAAGACAGAGGGTTGACTGGTTGGACCTTAGCTTCCAACATGTGTCTCAAGAGACTCAAAACGTTCAGCACTGGTTCAATGACTTTGAAAGTGCTGCAGCTATTGATTATGAGGTGTTAAAATAAAAACTTTAGACAAATTTAACAGAGGTTAATTGAGCAAAGAACAATTTGAAAATAGGGCAGCCCCCCTCAGCCCCAAAACAAAATAGATTCAGAGCAACTCTGGGGCTTCCACATAGTCAGATAATATTTATGGATAGAAAACGGAATATGATGAACAGAAAACGGAAATGAGGTACAGAAACAGCTGGATTGGTTACAGCTCGGCATTTGCCTTATTTAAACATGGTTTAAACAGTTGACCGCCTGTGATTGGCCAAAACTCTGTGACTGCTTCAAGAGTAGGTTACAGTCTGTTTACACATCATCAGGTTACAGTTTACTATGTACAGAGAGACCTTTAGGCCGAACTTAAAATATGTAAGAAGGCAACTTTAGGCTAAACTTAATTTAACGGAGGTGACAAATAAATTTTACCCAGTAGCTGAATTCACAATAAGGAATCTGCAAATAATGAGAATTGATTTTTCGTGCTTCTCATATCAGAGTATCAGTAAAGGAATAGCCACATTAACATTCAAAACACTTAGGATGTGGCAGGCACTGTTCCAGATACTTTGCTTATACCGAGTCATCCCATCATCACAACAGCCTATGGGGTAGATATTATTTTTATTCCCATTTTGCAAATGAGGAAACTGAAGTGGAAAGGTTTAAATACCTCATGTTCTTAGCAACTAGACGATACCACTCCTCATCGTTCATATTCTAAAACTAGCCCCACCATATCATGGAGTCAAATGCAAAAAAGTCACATGAATATGCAAGATGAAATGGAGAATTCAAAGAAATATTATGCTTGTGCAGTGGTGGCTGCATTAAGCAGAGCTCCCGGTGTCTGCAACTCAAGAAGTCACTGAGAATGCCTCTGGAGTTGGGGGACTTTGCTGGGAACATTTGAGATGCACTGCTCTGTTTTAAGGTATTAATGGCTCAGCAGGACTTCCTGTCTCATCTCCCTTGGGCAATCTGACTCCTGAGCCAGCCTCCAAGGAGTGCCCCACACCAAGTACTAAGACCAGGACTGAGCCTTTCTCTCCCACAGGTTCCATCTAGCAGGAGGCCAGCCCCCTCAAAGAGCAGGTGTTCCAGTAGCGAAAAGTAGTAGAGAAAACATCACCAATACCTTTATAGAACTTTTGCCTTCCAGTTAACCCTAGCAGGTCAAGCAAACCTGTGTGAGTGGCCAAGGTACTGTAAGTTAGGACAACAAAGAGCTGCAGAGGACAGCCTCCACTGGGGGTGCTGGCTGGACTTCACAGATGTTATGCGCAGAATCATGGCCTCACCACCCCTCAGTCACCTCTTCCCTCACCCCTTCCCTCAGTCACTCACCCACACTTCCCTCCCATCCTTACTTCCTCACCTGAGGCTTGGCCCAAATGTTTAAATAAGACATTGCCAAAGGCATGGTGTGGTGGGAGATCAGGAATTGGGAAGAACAGGAATGAATAAACCCCAAAGCAGCTAATCTGGCTGATTTGGCTGTTGAGTGTAGCCACCTACCCAATCACTATCTGGGGAGGTTCAGGCCCCTCCCTGCCTACTTCCTGGACTTCCTCCCTGTGAGAACACCCACCACCTGGGGACAATGGCAATGCATTTAGACTCTGAAGGGTCGAGGAAACTGAGTTCCATTTCCTCCCTAAGATCCAACTTCTTGGCTTCCTGGCTTTCACTACCTGTCTCAGGACCTGCTTCTTCCTAGATGAATTTCAGAGATTCCTGCCCGCGCTCCCAGCTTTGCCTGCTCCCAGCTTTGCCTGTTGACCTCAACCCAACAAGCACACAGTACAACATTCACGTGAGAGATACACATTGAAGATCAGGAAAGGAACTATTGATGATGGTGGTGTTGGGGTGTGTTTAGGTTTTACCCTTAGAGACAAGGAATATCAATTCAGGCATCAGCCTTAATTTGTTCTTGAAACAGAAATGCTCTTTCTGGTTACAGAGTTGTGAAGTGGGCTTGGGAAGCACACTCAAGAACGCTGTGTTGGAGGCTTGGAGAAAAAGAGTACTTGGAGGCAAGTACTCCAATAGAAGTTACCATTGACTGCAGCAGACACCAAAGATACACTCTCAGCCAAGGCCACTAAGAGATAACACATCTGGGGCCAGGTGCGGTGGCTCATGTCTGTAATCCCAACACTTTGGGAGGCCGAGGCGGGCAGATCATTTGAAGTCAGGAGTTCGAACCCAGCCTGGCCAACATGGTGAAACCCCATCTTTGCTAAAAAATACAAAAATTAGCCAGACATGGTGGCGTGCACATGTAGTCCCAGCTACACGGGTGGCTGAAGCAGGAGAATCACTTGAACTGGGAGGCAGAGGTTGCAGTGAGCTGAGATCACACCACTGCACTGCAGCCTGGGCAACAGAACGAGACTCTATCTCAAAAAAAAAAAAAAGAACACATCTGGATGTTAGGTGAACATAGTGCCTTAGGGGCACAAAATTAGCTAGCGAGTGTTCTTCAGGAAAAACCTATGAAGGAGTGAGGGAAGCAGGATAGGTAAGGCGCAAGACTAGAGCAAGCTGTGACTGAGGTCAAGCCTAACCTTCATGTGATCCTCGGGGATCCTGGAACAGAAACCACACCATAGATTTGCCGTGACTTGAAGCACCAGGACCAACTGCTGACCCGGGTGCCAGTAAGTCACTGCCTCCACTGGAGCTGGGTGGTGGTATATGGTGGTATAACCTCCAAGGTGGCTCCCTGTGGCCAAGGACAATGCTCCAGGAATGTATCAGCTGTAAGCCTTTAGCTGCTGCACCAAATATATGCTGGGGATAGGTGTGCCTGCTGGTAAAGAAATCGGACAGGGCATCCTCTCCAACGGCATCTACCATGCCTGGTTTTCAGGACGTATCCCTAGTCCCACACAGGAAATATGCTCAGCTAGCACTGATGGTTTTCTGACCAGAGTGGGTCCTTCTTTTGAATAGAAATTTGCTTTATAAAATTTGTTCAAGTCTTTATCCAGTTGCTCATAAGCAAGAACAGCCCTTGGGAGGGAAGTGTAGTGACAGGAAGTGTTTCTGCTGAGTGAGGGGCTCTGTGTGCTTTGGCAGAGCCTCACTTTTGGGTTTTCCCCTCAGCCTGCACTTAGATCCCCAGGTCTTCATGAGTCTTAGAGGTGCCAGGTCTGCGATTTCAAGTCAGGAGCTTAGGAATTAGTACTGCTGCAGCACTGGAGGTCTGAGCCTATCAGAATCTCTGTCAGGAGGGCGAAGGTGGTGTTGGACGATCTCTTTCTAGAAAGTCCCCAGTCTTTAGGGTGGGGCAGGGGGAGCTAGAGTCCCCTAAAGTTCTGTGAAGGATAGCGTTGGGAATTGTTGAGCCTTCCCAGGACCAGCAAACTCTCCAGACCCCAAATCCGAGGACAATTCCCCTCTGGCCTTCAGGGCTAGGAAGGTGCTGATAAGCATGCGTGTGTACACCTGCCCATCTCTAGGTAGATTCCACTGTGGAACATGAGCAGAGCACAAATACTCTGGGGAGAATAGGTTGGCTAGTGCCTTGGGACTCATCTCACTCTGCCCTTCACAAGAACCTTATCTTCCCCTTAGAGGTGCAAGGCAAGTGTAGAGAGTACTGGAACTATAGTCGGGAAATCCAGTTCCAGTGTGGGCGTGGCCACAGATTGAGGGCTTCTAGGCAGGCCATTTTGCCTCTCTGAGCATCGACTTTCTCCTTTATATTGTGAAACTGTAAAAATTAGAAAGTTTCGGCCAGGCGTGGTGGCTCACACCTATAATTCCAGCACTTTGGGAGGCCGAGGTGGGCAGATCACGAGGTCAGGAGTTCGAGACCAGCCCGACCAACATGGTAAAACCCCATCTCTACTAAAAATACAAAAATTAGCCGGGTGTGGTGGCACGTGCCTGTAAACCCAGCTACTCAGGAGGCTGAGGCAGGAGAATGAATCGCTTGAACCCGGGAAGTGGAGATTGCAGTGAGCCAAGATCGTGCCACTGCACTCCAGCCTGGGCGAGAGAGAGACTCCATCCCAAAAAAAAAAAAAAAAAACAGTTCCTTCTGGTGTAATTTGTGAGGTTGTCTTTATACTTTGCTTGTGTATTACAGCAATACCTTGCAAACCTAGAACTCAACCCTGGGGGCCTCTCCTAGTTTCACTACAACCAGATTAGTAATAGAAAACACCTCTCAGCATCCAACCAACATCACAGATTTGAGCATATTGTATATTAGCAGACACTTAGGTCTCACTGAAGACTACTGATTCTTACTTTGCACACAGTTTTAACAAGTTTGTTCATCTGATTTTCAAGAGTAAATCAGAAGCTATAAATTAGAAAGGGACAGAATGCCTGCTAAGAGGCATACTGACAGGATAAAGGTGCTACAGAAAAACATAAAAGGCACCCAAAAAGTCAAAAATCACCATTGTTTGGTGCAGCTTAGTTCACCTCAGAGGAGCCTGAGAAGAAGGCACAGTACTGTGTTCATGCTCACGAAACCAGGTTATGAACCCATTTGTCCATTAGATTCTGTTTATGAATGTGTGAAAGTACGTGTTACGTTTTAGAAAAATATTCACATGCAAAAGACTTAAATTGAAGAAAAGGAAAACAAAAGCCAAGCTATACATATTCCTGTAAATATTCACCTTGGTTTACCAAAAAACTCACATCTAGAGCATCATCTCTGACAACTCTAGATCACCAGGATTTTATTCCAGAATTAATTTGAGCAAAAGAGCAGAGTGTAAAGTAAGAAATCTTATTCCTCCAAAGACAGCATCCGTTATTGTTTAAAAATGTGATATCGGTTTTCTGACAAATCGTCAAGAAGAGTCGCACACGAAAGCATTTTCTCTGGTGCCGCCTTGCGTGTCATTCCCTGTACACCGCAAAATGAGACTCGCCTGTTTAGTCTGCTTTCCTATGTGTTCCTTACGCTCTCCGCTTGGCAATATTTGGGTTGGAAGCACCACAAAGGAATACTTGAAAAGTATTTTTTCAAATATAAGTTCAATAAAAACATTTCTCTGTATTAAGTTTTGCAAAACACATTAACTTTGGGAGGGTTTTGATAGCCAATTAAAAATTTCTATCCCTTCTTTTCCCAGACTCGGGCAAAAATGTTCTATGGATGAGTGAAGAACCAATTTTCTTCAGACCCCACCATTTGCATCTGGTCAGCTTTAGACCTAAAGAACAATTCAATTCAACACAGTATAATGCCGTATATATTTATTGACAATCTACCTTGTGTCAGACATGTGCAAAGTCTTGGGAATACAATGACATGACAAGAGATAGCACCTGCCCTGCAGAAGCGGATGAGATACAGTGTGATAAATGTTCTCAGAGGTTTAAGGGCAGGAAGCTATAAATGCACTGGGTAAAACAGCAACTAATTCAGTTGTGAGGGTATTAGACATTTCTTAGGAAAATATTTCAATTGAGAACTAAAGTTTAAGTACAAGCACAGGATTTTATCATTATAAATTGTATTCTCCTTCTGTGATTTTTCTCCAGTCAAAACAATCTACAATCCCAAATACATGTTTTAAAATAATATAAATGGGCCAGACTCGGTGGCTCACGCCTGTAATTCCAAAACTTTGGGAGGTCAAAGCTGGAGGATCACTTGAGCTCAGGAGTTCAAGACCAGCCTGGGGAACACGGCAAAACCCTGTCTTTACAAAAAAAAAAAAAAAATTAGCTGGGTGTGGTGGTGCACACCTGTAGTCCCAACTACTTGGGAGGCAGAGGCAGGAGAATTGCTTGAGCCTGGGAGACGGAGGTTACAGTGAGCCAAGATTGCACCATTGCACTCCAGCCTGGGTGACGGGAGTAAAATCCTGTCTCAAAAAAAATAAATAAAACAAAATAAATGGCTGGGAGGTGGGGTATGTCTAGGAAAGAATGAATTTGTTCTAGAACAAATCCTATCTGCTCACTTTCATATTGTTCCCATATATGGGTTTCTGTGCACACACCTTCAGCCTAATAAGGAATTGAGGGAATATTGTAGGGTATCTGTGGTAAACAGATTCTAGCAGGGCCCCAATGACTGTCACCTCCTGGTATTCATACCGTTGTGTTTAGTGTGGCAGAGGCAAAGCAAAGTGTTCACCAAATGCTTTAGGAAGGTTACAATTCCCAGTCTTCTTGCAGTTAGGCAGAGCCATTGAGTCATTCTAGCCAATAAAATAAAAATGGAAGTGATCCGTATCACTTTCTGGTTGACGCAGTGAAAAGCTCACTGTGCATTCTCCGGGCTCTCTCTTCCCCTTGGGCAGTTAACACAGAGGGTGTGTGTTGGCATGCAGAGCCACAAGATGAAAGGATCCTGGCTCCCTGAACCACCCCATGAAGGACAGCTACCATGGGCAGTCAGCGAACCTATGCCAGCTTTCACATGCATAAGACATTAACTTTATCTGTTAAGCATCTGAAATTTTATTTGTTACTGCAGCATAAACCTAGTCTATACTAATGCATTTGAATCACAAAGTGAAAATGGAATTGGCAAGAGGTAAGTAGACAGGCCAGACACGATGGCTCATGCCTGTAATCCCAGCACTTTGGAAGGCCAAGGCAGGCAGATCACTTGAGTCCAGGAGTTCGAGACCAGCCTGGGCAACATGGTGAAACCCCGTCTCTACAAAAATACAAAAATACAAAAATTGGCCAGGCGTGGCAGTATGCACCTATAGTCCCAGCTACTTGGGAGGCTGAGACATGAGAATCACTTGAGCTGGGGAGGCAGAGCCAAGATCACACCACTACACCCCAGGCTGGGCGACAGAGCGAGACTCTGTCTCAAAAAAAAAAAAAAAAAAAAAAAAAGGTAAGTAGACAGAGGTAGGCAGGGGCCAAGTATTGAAGGCCACATATACCATGCTATCGGGTTTCAAGCTTTAAGAGCAAAGGGTTGCTTAGGATAATATTTGGCAGAGCAATGACATAATAAGACTGGCCCTTCAGAATGATTACTCTGGCTGTGTTTCTAGTAATATAAGCAAGAGCTCATGATAGCCTAACCTGGCATGAGTGACAGTGGGAATACAAGAAAATAGATGGATTTGAGAGTTGCTAGAAAGGTAGAATTGATAAGATGTGGTGAATGATTTAAAGAGTAGGGCACTAGGACAAGTTAAGGCTGACTTCTTGATTTCTGACATGTGAAATGGGCAGCTCGGTGTCATTCACTGATATAGGGTACCTAGGAGGAGGCATCTGTTAGGTAGGAGGGGGCACACAGAGATGATGGCTTCACTTGGGGCATTTTGAATTGGAAATGCCTTTAGATCTAGAACCAGGAAGATGCCTGGGCTGGAGATGTATATTGATGACTCATCAACACATATGGTTGATGCATGAAACCATGGAAGTTCATGGTGTAGATAAAAATAGCTAGCTACCTTCATCTGTCATCTAGTCATATGTCTACCAGGAAAGGAATTTCTAAATGTTACATAATATGCAAGTAATATGTGTATAATTCCCCCTAAACAGTGACAATATCAACATTTATTTCTCTTTCTCAGAAACCAAAATCAAGATGCAATCATTGTGAGCCACTTTTGATTTCAGCCTGGGTTTTCACCATTTGCTCATATGGCTCAGTGGCTCTGGCTTGAAGGAAGTTTTCCCAGCTCTGTTCTTTTGCTCTTCCATTGTGAACTTCAATTTTAAAGATACATCCAGAAGTCCCTGATTCCTCCAAGGCAAATTTGATATTTAATCTGAGCCTGGGTCTCTGGTTAACCATCAAAGCAAGAGTGGGACTTACTCGGCATTTCCCATGAAATTGGTAAATGCTATTTCATCAAATGTGTTCCAGAGCAGTGTATTTTTATTGTTGTCTTTAAAGACTAAGAAAGAAATCAAAAGACTTTATGAAAAAAGTATCCCCAAATTCATATATGGGGCCAGGAAAATTGAGAACAAACTATCCAGTGTTGTGCAAAGCCTAAATAAGGAAAATGGAAAAGAAATTTTAAAAAACTGATACTGACATGAAATTTCAGGTCACGTGGAGACTTCTGATCCCAGAGGATGATTTGAGCATTAACATTTTACTCAAACCAGCCATTCCGCACTGAAATTATCAAATAGATAAGATAAAAAAATTCCATATGAATGCTGGAAACTGGGGAAGATGATCATCCCTAGAACTGCAACTCAGGGAGGACTGATGAGATACAGCCCTGGTCATTGCTCTGGCAGCAGTGGCTCTCATGATGACAGAAGAGAGCTGTGCACTGTGAGTGTCCTTCTTCGACTCTACCAGGAAGGTAGGGAGAGCACTCTGGAAATAAATAGTGTAACAAGTATTGAAATAGAGAGAGTAACTAATACAGGTCTGCAATATTGCTTTTTCCTTCTGCCTTTAAAGATAGAGTGATTCTTTAGTTGTTCAGTCAGCCATGATTCTTCTCTTGGGATTAGAGTGAATCAGATTAATTTCTTACTTAAAAAATGTATGAAATCACCTAAAGAAGAAAGGATCTAGGAGACCAGAAAAAAAGAGAAACAGCCAGGCAGATGAAAGCAGTTTGTAGAGTTTGAGAGATCAGAAGATCAGAGGAATAGTTGCTGTGATAACTGGGATTTTGCAGAGAAGAATGTGAAAAGACAGCTTTAAGAAGACTTGAGAGAGTGATGTTAGCAAGATGGGAAAATAGGAGGTTCCAGCTCTCATCCCCCAACAGAATACAGGGTTTGGCAACTGCCCACAGATGAGAATAACTTTGGGGGAGCCCCAGAGCCTAGCTGAGGTCCCAGCACCCTGGTGGAGCAAATAGTCTGTGCATAAACACATTTAAAAGGATAAAAACAGTTTCACTTTATCTGCATCACCGCTCCCCCAAAGTGGCACAGCTTGATGCCAAGAGAGGCCCCCTTGGCCCATGACTTCTTCCATAGGGGAAAGGGAGAATGAAGTCAGTGCTCGGCTTCCCCGTCCTTGCAAAATGCTGCCTAGGAGGCCCACTTCTATCTGCCCCACCTAGAACACTAAGGGGATCAGCATGACTGAATTGTCTGTGGACAGCTAGAAGCCAGGAGAAGGGGAGGAAGTGCAGAACAACTGGCACACAGTTTTCAACAGCCAGTCATGGATCTTGTGAACTAACACATAAATTCTACCAAGCAGCCCTCCCAAGACTGCTCCAGGACGACTCACTCGAGGACTCCCCTGAACCAGCCAACACACTTCCTGAGCACCTCATGCAGCTCCCCATGGGATGGTACCGTATGCATCCCTGTGTACAGCCTGCATGAGTTCTCACAGACAGCACAAGGATCTCAACAGAAGGTGTGGATTTTTAGCAATCATCTCAACTTCACTGGCTTGGGTGAACCGCCACAATCTTGATATTTCAGGACACTGCCCTAGGGAAAATAAACAGGAGAATTTCAATACAAAATGTAGCTCTGCAGGATGAAGAGAAGATACACAATCCTAAGGCTTGTCCTCTAAGAGGGCACAAGAGGAGCAGTGTGGGTACATCCATAAAAAAAAACAGATAAGAGACACCCAAGATCTTTAGCCAGGCTCACTGGTGAAGTAAAGACTGGAAGACATGACTGCTTCTTCAAATGCAAAGATAGCAATGCAAAGCTTCAATGAATATGAAGAATCAAGGAAATATGATACCACCAAAGGAACAAAATAAAGCTTCAGTGGCTGACCCCAGAGAAATGTAGATCTATGAATTGCCTGACAAAAATTGAAAATAATCATCTTAAGCCCAGTGATCTACAAAAGTACACAGAGAAACAACTAAATGAAATCAGGAAAACAGTACATGAACAAAATGAGAGGTTCAATAATAAGATGGGAATCATAAAAAAAGAACCAAACATAAATTCTGGAGCTAAGGAATAAAATTTGTGAAAATTTCAATAGAAAGCTTTAACAGTAGACTCAGTCAAGCAGAAGAAAGAATCAGCAGACTCTAGGACAGATCATTTAAAATTATCCAGTTCAAGGAACAAAAAGAAAGACTTAAGAAAACTGACAGAATTTATGGGACATTATCAAATGAATCAATATATGCATTACAGGAATTCTAGAAGGATCAGGGCAGAAGAAAGGAGTGGAAAGCTTATTGAAAGAAAATGGGCTTGGCATGGTGGCTCACGCCTGTAATCCTAACACTTTGGGAGGCCGAGGTGGGTGGATTGCCTGAGCTCAGGAGTTTGAGACCAGCCTGGGCAACACAATGAAACCCTGTCTCTACTAAAATACAAAAAATTAGCTGGGCATGGTGGTGTACACCTGTTATCCCAGCTACTCAGGAGGCTGAGGCGGGAGAATTGCTTGAACCCAGGAGGTAGAGATTCCAGTGAGTCGAGATCGCGCCACTGCACTCCAGCCTGGGCGACAGAGTAAGACTCCATCTTCCCCAACGAAAGAAAAAAAAAGATGACAGAATGTCCCCCAAATCTGGAGAGGAAAATGAATATCCATATCTATGAGGCCCAAAGAACTCCAAATAATTGAGCATCAAGAAGTCTTCACTGAGACACATTATGATCAGATTGTCAAAAGTCAAAGACAAACTGAGAATTTTGAAAGCAGCAAGAGAAGAGTGACATCACATAGAATAGAACCGCCCCCCACCCCATTAAGATGATAAGCAGATTCTCAGCAGGTCGGGACAGTGGGATGATATTTTCAAATTGCTGAAAGAAAAAACTGCAAACCAATAATACTATACCTGGCAAAATTGTCCTTCAAAAATGAAGAAGAGATAGACCTTCTTAGACAAGCAAAGGCTGAGAGACTTTATCACAAATAGATCTGCTTTATAAGAAGTGTTAAAAAGAGCTCTTCAAGTTGAGACAAAAGGACACTAATCAGCACTGTGAAAACATATAAAGGTATAAAATTCACGGATAAGTTTAATGTCAAATTCAGAATATTCTAATATTGTAATGGTGGTGCATAAATCACTTTTAACTCTAATATAAGGTTAAAAGACAAAAATATTAAAATATGCAGTGATTTGTTAATGGTTACACAATGTAAAAAGCTGTAAATTGTGACCCTAATAACATAAAATTTGGGGGAATAAAAGTGTAAGGATTTTGTATGCAATCAAAATTAAGTTTTCAACTAAAATAGGCCATTACAACTATAAAATGTTTTATGCAAACCTCATGGTAATCACAAAGAAAAAAACTAAAAGCTGGTTTTTTGAAAAGATAAACAAAATTGACAAACTTTAACTAAGTTAAGAAAGAGACGACCCAAACAAAATTATACGTGAAGGAGACATTACTATTGAAATTATAGAAATACAAAGGATCATAAGAGACTATGATGAACACTTATATGACAGCAAATTGGATAACCTAAAAGAAATAGATAAATTCCTAGAAATATACACCTACCAAGAATGAACCATGAAGAAAGAGAAAATATAAACAGACCAGTAATGAGTAAGTAGGTTTAATCAGTAATCAAAAATTTCCAAAAAAAAACAAAAGCCCAAGACCAGATTGTTTCAATGTTACCAATCATTTTTAAAGAATTAATTCCCATTCTTCTCAAACTCTTCTAAAATATTAAAAATGAAGGAACACATCCAAACTCATTCAATGAGGCCAGCATTACCTTGCTACCAAGGCCAGCCAAGGACACTGCAAGAAAAGGAGAGCATGGGCCAATATTCCTAATTAATACTGATGCAAAAATCCTCAACAAAATCCCAGCAAACTGAATTCAACTGCCCATTGAAAGAATCATACACCATGATCAAGTGGAATGGTTCAACATACGCAAATCAATCAATGTGATATATAGTAGACTGCTGCAATTGCCCTGGCCAAGGGACCAAGCCCAGCAGTCTTGGCAGTTTGTGGATGGCTGACCCACCGCTCCTTTCCTTCTCACCTCCCTGAAGCCACCTGAGCTGCCACCTAGAGCCACAAGACTGTTGCTGCTGCAGTGGCTCCATCTGGATATCCAGCCCAAAAGCCTTGGCAGTCTCTGGGTGCTTGACCCACCACTCCTCTCCATCATCCCTCCCTCAAACCACCTGAGCTGCTCCTGCCATGATACCCCTAGCCCAGGGTCTCACCCTAGTGGCCTTTGCATTCTCTACTAGCTGCTGCCTCCATGGGTGATTTGGCCCTGGGACACAGCACAGCTACTACATGTGTGCCTGCAAACAGCTCCCAGGCACCCCCAGCACAGGACCCTATCCCACTGCCATGTGTACCCTAGGCTAACCACTGCAGCCAGGTTACTACATGCTGTCAGCCCTGGCTCCACAGCTGTACATGCATAAGCAGTTGGCCCTGCCCCCTGGCTCTTTCCCCCATTACTATGTTTGCACCCACAGCTGGCCCTTGCAGCTGTACGTGCACATACATATCCAGTGTGCCTCCCAGATGCACCCTTCTACACACATACAGACAGCCTCTAACCCCCTTCACCAGCGTGCACTTGGCCCCTGCACTTATGCATGTGCAATCTGCCAGCCCACCCTGCCATCTGTGCACTCATAGTTGGTCCCAGGCCCTTCCTCTTACCCCAGTTCTTGCCACCATGCATGAGATGAGCCTGCAACTGGCCTCAGCTGTCATAGATGTGCCTGCAGCCAGCTATCATAGCATAGCGTGTGCACACCACTGGCCCTGGCCCCTGGCCACTGGACCCAGAGGTGCAGCTGAGGACCCTAACAGCCCTCACAGCCTCAACATAATGAAGGATAAAAATCATATGATCATCTCAGTAGATGCAGAAAAATTTTAACAAAATTCAGTATTCTTTAATGCTAAAGACTCTCAATAAATTAGGTATAGAAAGAATGTGCCACATCATATATGGTAATAAAAATCATACATGATAAGCCCAAAGCTAACATACTCAACAGTGAAAAGCTGAAAACTTTTCCTCTAAGATCAGGAAGAAGACAAGAATGCCCACTCTCACCACTTGTATTTAACATCGTACTGGTAGTCCCAGCCAGAGCAATTAGGCAAGAAAAAGAAATAAAAGACATTTAAATTGGAAAATAAGAAGTAAAATTGTCTTTGTTTGCCGATGACATAATTTTATACATAGACTACACACACTGTTAGAACTAATAAATGAATTCAGTAGAGAAATATAAAATCAACATACAAAAATCAGTTGCATAATATACACTACCGATGATCTATCAAAAAAAAGAAATTACGAAAACAATTCCATTTGCAATAGTATCAAAATGAATAAAATATTTAGGCATAGATTTAACTAAGGAGGTGAAATATCTCTACACTGAAAACTATAAAACATTGATGAAAGAAATTAAAGTCAACACAAATAAATGGAAAGATAACCCATATTCACAGACTAGAAAAATCAATATTGTTAAAATGTCTGTATTATCCAAAGTGATCTACAAATTCAATGCAACCTCTATCAAAATTCCAGTAGAATTTTTCATAGAAATATAAAAAGACTCCTAAAATTCATATGGAACCACAAAAGACCCCAAATAGCCAAAAAATCTTGAGTAAGAAGAACAAAGCTGAAACAAAATAGAGAATTCAGAATTAAACCCACACATATATGGCCAACTAATTTCTGACAAGGGCACCAAGAATACATAATGGGAAAAGGATAGTCTCTTTAACAAATGGTGCTGAGAAAACTGTACATCTACAAGCAAAAGAATGAAATTGGACCCTAACCTTACACTATACATAAAAATCAACTCAAAATAGATTAAAGAATTAAATGTAAGATCTAAAACTGTGAAAGAAAACATAGGAAAAAGTTCCTTGACATTGGTCTTGGCAAGAATTTTTTGGCTATGACACCAAAAGTACAGGTAACAAAAGCAAAATAAACAAGCGAGATTACATCAAACTAAAAAACATTTGCACAGAAAAAAAATGAAAAACATACGATTTGGGAAAAAATACTTGCAAACCATATATTGGATAAGGGGTTAACACCTAAAATATATAAGGAACTCATACAACTTAAAAGCAGAAAAATAATCTGATTTTTAAGTGGGCAAAGGACTTGAATAGACATTTTTCCAAAGAAGATATGCAAATGGCCAAAAGGTACAAGAAAAGGTGCTCAACAACACTAATCATCAGGAATGCAAATCAAAATCACAATGTGATATCACCTCACACCTGTTAGGATGGCTATGCAGTGACAGTGCAATTAAAAATAATGATCATGCCACAGCTCTCTTAAAAAAAATCAGAAAACAAAAAAAAAAAGACAAGAGATAACAAAAGTTGACAAGGATGTGAAGAAAAAGGAACTCTTTTACACTCTTATTGGGAACGTAAATTAGTACAGCCACTATGGAAAACAGTATGGAAGTTCCCTCCGAAATTAAAAATAAAACTCATATGATTCAGCAATTCCATTTCATATCCATTCAAAGGATATGAAATCTGAATGTCAAAGAGACACCTGCACTCCCAGGCTCATCACATTATGCACAATAGCCAAGATATGGAAACAACCTAAATGTCCATCAACAGATGAATGGATAAGGACACTATGGCATATGGCATATAGTGGAATAGTATTCAGCCATAAAAAGAAGGAAATCTATGGGTGGATTATGTTAACTTAATGTTCACTTAACATTATGTTAAGTGAAATAAGCCAGACACCAAAAGACAAATACTATATGATCTCACTTATATGTAGAATCTAAAATAGTCAAATTCATAAAAGCAGAGAGTAGAATGGTAATTGGCAGGGGCTTGTGGAAGGGAGAACTAGAGAGGTGATGGTTAAAGGCTGCGAACTTTCAGTTATGCAAGATGAGTAAGTTCTGGAGATCGACTCTGTAGCGTAGTGCCTATAGTTAACAATATTGTGTTGCACACTTAAAATTGCTAAAAGAATAGATCTTGTATTGTGTTCTTACCAAAGCAACAATGCTACTAATAATAAAGGGAATGGGAGGAAAAAATACGTAATGAAACAGAAAGAGTAAGTAATTATATCTAAATATATTTTAAAAATCAGTATGTGTTAAAGGTAACATTTTAATTCAGTGAAAAAAAGTGTAAATTATTGGCTAGATATTTAGTGAGAAATGTTACATATCAACTTCCTTCATTTCTATAAAATAAATTCCAAATGAGTTAAGGATTAGTGTGCAAAAAGAAAAAAAGTGAAGTAGAAAGCTCAGTGATTTTATAATATTAGAGTTGAGAATAATGCTAGAAAATAGGAAGGAAATGAATGATCAATTTGATTATATGCATTTTTAAAATATTGGTATAACAGTCAAACAACACACACACGTATGCACACACACACACACACAAAGGCAACTGGCAAACTGGAGAATATATTTTAAATTCACATAATAGATAAGGGATCAAAGATAGTAATACATAACTCATTAATCAGAGGTAAATGCTAATAGAAAATTAGGCAACGAATATAGTAAGAACTAAAAATTGCCAATAACTATATGAAAAGATCAATGTCACTAGTAAGCAAAGAAATGCAAATTAAACAATAGGGGTATATCCTTTTACCTGTCAGATGGACAAATTTCAATAATTATTTTTACCCAGAATTAATAAGACTAGAAGCAAATGAATATCCACACATTGATATAAGAAATACAAACTGACGTAACCATCAGGAAGTTCAAGCATAATATGGAAGAGGTTAATTAATATACACATTTAAATATATCTAAGTTCAATATGTTTGTCATTTTGACCCATTTTTTTTCTATTTCTAGAAATGTATCATAAGGAAATAATTGAAGTTATATGTATAGATGATTGTTACTGGTTTGTCTATAATGTAAGAAAACTGGAAATGTGTAACAGTAGGAGGTTAGTTGGATAAGTTATGATATAGACATACAATAAAATACCATGTAGCCAATAAACCATAAGACTTAGGTCTACAGTTATTAATATAGAAAGATAAAATTATGATATGGAAGTCTCATTTGTATGAATGAATATATATATAAATACATAAAATATAATTATGCAAGGACAAAACTGGAAGAATATAATGAAAATGTTGATAATAGTAATTATTTTGAGGTTGTGGGATTAAAAGTGATTTTCACTTTCTTCTTATGATTTTACATGCATTCTGAATTTTTCTACAATATGCCTGTATTACTTTTATAATTAGAAAAATAAAGCTATTTTAATTTAAAAAATTGTTTTGACATCTAAAAAGTCATGGATATATTTTGGCTGGGTGTAGTGGCTCATGCCTATAATCCCTGCACTTTGGGAGGCTAAGGCGGGTGGGTCACCTGAGGTCAGGAGTTCTAGACCAGCCTGGCCAACATGATGAAACCCCATCTCTACTAAAAGAACAAAAAATTAGCTGAGCATGGTGGTGCACACCAGTAATCCCAGCTACTCGGGAGTCTGAGGCAGGAGAATCGCTTGAACCCAGGAGGCGGAGTTTGCAGTGAGCCGAGATCGCGCCACTGCACTCCATCCAGCCTGGGCAACAAGAGCAAAACTCTGTCTCAAAAAAAAAAAAGTCATGGATGTATTTTACAGAAAAGATAAAATTTGCATGACTCTTTCTAGAGACTGAAAAAAAAAGATTATTTGATTAAAGTTGTACAACAAACTTTTGGATGTAAAACTGTGAGAGACTTAAGGCAGGAGCACACAGTGCAGTTTTCTTTCTGATAGTTTGTTGGAAGTCAATGGGTGCCAACCCAGTGCCAGGAACCAGGCTAAAGATGCTGCCTGTGACCTTTTCCCTGGGTATCTTGTGGACGGTTCAGCATCTACTCATGCTAGATGAAGCCCTAGACCAATATCTACAGCTGTAGACCCAGATTATTGACCAGGTCTTGGAGCAAAAGTTGACTGCCCTGACTCTGGAGAGTATCGCTACTAAAGGTTACAGGCCTGCCTGTTTTCAGAGTTCCAATTGTTCTGCAATTGTCCTGGTGACAGAATAACTCGTACCAGGATATTTTTTCTTTTAGTCGGAGTCTTAACCATTTCTATAAATTCTGCTTTCTCCTGTTGCAGGCAATCCTGGTGGCAGAGCTTGTGGCTTTACAACGTGAATAATGTCATCATTTGACCTCTCAAGAGGGCTCTGGTCTCATCTAATCATGTTTGGTTGCCTTTGGTTTCCTGGAGTTTCTAAAATTTTATCAACCCAAATCTGTCTATCTCTCTATCTTTGCCATTGCCCTTGCATTTCCCTTGGGGCTGCTCTGATCTATCTATCTATCATCTATCTATCTATCTATCTATCTATCTATCTATCTATCTATCATCTATCTATCTATCTATCTATCATCTATCTATCATCTATCATCTATTCTTTGTTCTAAACTATAGGCATGTAGCTAGGCATGAGCTATGTATCTGTTTCTTATTCTGAACTACAGGCTAGCCCTATCTTCTCTCAGTTCACAGATAAATACATATTTGTGTTTCCAATTTATTTCTCCAAATTTAGCCTAGTGGAGTCACCTACAGAAAGACAGAAGTAAAATTTACAAAAGTGAAAATTCTAGGACTGCCAACAGCCTCCATTATTCAGTCAGTAGAGACAGTCTGGCTTTCTCTTTCTGAATTTTATCTAAAGTGTGGCAGATACTGCAAGGGGCCCCCCAAAATCTGTTATTCCTTTCTTCTAAAGAAATAGAGTTTGAGCTGGTTACCTGTTTTCCCAGTAAAACTAGATTTCTCAGACTCACTTGCATTTAGGTGTAGTGATGTAACTAAGTTCTTGCCAATGAACTGTGAGTAGAAATGATGATTCTGTTTCCAGATATGATGCATAATTCATTGAATGTACATAAACTTGCTCCTCTTCTCCCTAGCTGAAATGTTGATATGACAGCAACCCAACTTTGACCATGCAGATGATGATAACAACTTAGAGAATAGTAAGAAGAAAGGAACCTGAGAGCCTGAATGACTACATGAAGCAG
The DNA here is from genome assembly GCF_000001405.40 of Homo sapiens. NCBI lineage: Eukaryota > Metazoa > Chordata > Mammalia > Primates > Hominidae > Homo > Homo sapiens. The sequence continues at coordinate 239,868 of NW_025791797.1, read as the reverse complement.
TTTAGCTCTCATATCTGGATTGCCTGTATCAGGAGAGAAAAATGAAGTTCTGTATCTTTTAGTAGGAATATTATTGAATCTTTTTTTTACAGCAACTTAACTTTCACCCTCGTTAATACATACAGGGCATAGGTTTCTCTCAGTCCCACATCTAGCCCAGATCTGCCTGTCTTCCCTCTAGTTTGAGTCATCCTGTAATGGAAACACAGGTTCAGTTGCTCAGCATTTGCAGAGTCCAATTAACAAGAGTAAGATCTAGTATAAAGAAAGTAACTTTTATTCCAAAGCTAGGTTAGGGGGAGAAATACAGGCTTCCAGATTTAAGGGAAACACCTTGCTTCTAAGGCACAAAGCAGGGGCTTTTAAAGGAGGGACTTGGCATGAATGGCATACAGAGGAAACGGCAAGCAGGTGGGGGGCCCATGACTTGCTTTGGTGCCACTGGGTGGTTGAACTGGCGCCTTTGCAGTCAGAACTAGGTTATAAAAGTGACCCTTGTCTTCAGATATTCTCCAGGTGGGAGAGAGTTTCATAGCGGGCATACCATGGGTTGTAAGTTAACTCTTGTCTCTAGAGGCAATCTTCTGGTGGAAGAGGTTTCTACTCTGGAGCTTCTAAGCACATCGTTAGATAGCTTGCCCTGTAGGGAGTGTTTGAAGAAGGGAAGGTAAAGGGTCATAACTGCATTTATAAAGAGTTAAGTAGGAAGTGGGGAAAAGGAGGAAAGAGAAAAGAAGAAAAATAATAATTTTTAAAACATTAATTCTCTTTCTCTTAGAAAAATGGGGATACTGGGTTACAATCGCTTAGCATCCTAATCCTACTAATTTCTTACTATGTTCTCTCATAGCCCAGAGTGATATTTGCATTTTCTGTAATACCAAATCACCTTAAAACCTGCCAATAATGCCTTGAGTATTTTGCATCGGTTTTCCTATCCTCCTTTTCATATCCATTTACATTGTGTCATTTTACATTGCCAGCAGTGTACGAAAATTTCAGTTACTCCATTTCCTATCCAATACTTGGTATGGTAAATCTTTTCCATTTTTGCCATTTTGGTAGGTGTGAGGGTTAACTTATGATTTTAATTTGCATTTTTCTGATGCTGATTAATGATGTTGCACACTTTTTCATGTGCTTAGTGAACATTTATATCTTCTTTTGTGGCGTGTCTCTCCAAATCTTTTGACCATTTTAAATTGCTTATTATGAGAATTCTGTATAAATTTGGTACAGAAGTCTATTGTCACTGATATGGTTTGTCTGTGTCCCCACACAAATCTCATCTTGAATTGTAGTTCCCATAATCCGTACATGTCATGGGACCCAGTGGGAGGTAATTGAATCATGGGGGTGCTTACCCTCATGCTTTTCTTATGACAGTGAGTTCACACAAGATCTGATGGTTTTATAAGGGGATTTCCCCGACCTTCACTCATACTTCTCCTTCCTGCCACCATTTGAAGGACATGTTTGCTTCCCCTTCCACCATGATTGTGAGTTTCCTGAGGCTTTGCCAGTCCTGTGGAAATGTGAGTCAACTAAACCTCTTTCCTTTATAAATTATCCAGTCTCTGGCAGTTCTTTATAGCAGTGTGAGAATAGACTAATACATTAAATTGGTACTGCAGAGAGTGGGGTGCTTCTGCACACCCCTACAGGGCAAGCTATCTAATGATGTGCTTAGAAGCTCCAGAGCAGAAACCTCTTCCACCAGGAGATTACCTCTAGAGACAACAGCCAACTTACAATACCAAAAAATGTGGAAGCAATTTTGGAACTGGGTAACAGGCAGGGGTTGGAACAGTTTGGAGGGCTCAGAAGATGACAGGAAAATGTGGGAAAGTTTGGAACTTCCTAGAGACTTGCTGAATGGCTTTGACCAAAATGCTGATAGTGATATGGACAATGAAGTCCAGGCTGAGGTGGTCTTGGAGATGAGAAACTTTTTGGGCACTGAAATAAAGGTGATTCTTGCTATGCTTTAGCAAAGAGACTGGTGGCATTTTACCCCTGCCCTAGAGATCTGTGGAACTTTGAACTTGAGAGAGATGATTTAGTGTATCTAGTGGAAGAAATTTCTAAGTGGCAAAGCGTTCAAGAGGAAGCAGAGCATAAAAGTTTGGAAACTTTGCAGCCTGACAATACAATAGAAAAGAAAAATCCATTTTATGGGGAGAAATTCAAGCCACCTTCAGAAATTTGTATAAGCAATAAGGAGCCGAATGTTAATCACCAAGACAATGGGGAAAATGTCCCCAGGGCATGTCAGAGACCTTCATGGCAGCCCCTCCCATCACAGGCCCATCACAGGCCCAGAGGCCCAGGAGGGAGAAATGGTTTCATGGGCTAGGCCCAGGGCCCCCAACCGGCTCTATGCAGCCTCAGGCCATGATGCCCTGAGTTCCAGCTGCTTCAGCTCCAGCTGTGGCTAAAGGGTGCCAAGGTACAGCTCAGGGTGTTGCTTCAGAGGGTGCAAGCCCCAACCCTTGGTGGCTTACACATGGTGTTGGGCCTGGGGTGCACAGAAGTCAAGAGTTGAGGTTTGGGAGCCTCCACCTAGATTTCAGAGGATGTATGGAAACCCCTGGCTGTCCAGGCAGAAGTATGCTGCAGGGATGGGGCTCTCATGGAGAACCTCTGCTAGGGCAGGGCAGAAGGGAAACATGGAGCTGGAGCCCCCACACAGAGTCCCCACTGAGGCACTGCTTAGTGGAACTGTGAGAAGAGGACCACCATTCTTCAGACTCCAGAATCCACTGACAGCTTGCACCATGCACCTGGAAAAGCTGCAGACACTCAATGCCAACTGTGAAAGTAGCCAGGAGGGGTGCTATACCTGAAAAGCCACAGGGATGGAGCTGCCCAAGGCTGTGGGAGCCCACCTCTTGCATCAGTGTGATTTGGATGTGAGACATGGAATCAAATGAGATCATTTTGGAACTTTGAGGTTTAATGACTGTCCTGTTGGATTTTGGACTTGCATGGGTCCTGTAGCCCCTTTGTTTTGGCCTATTTATCCCATTTGGAACAGGTGTATTTACCCAATGCCTATACCCGTTAGTTACTAGGAAGTAACTAACTTGTTTTTTATTTTGCAGGATCATAGGTGAAAGGGACTTGCCTTGTCTCAGATGAGACTTTGGACTTGGACTTTTGAGTTAATGCTGGAATGCCTTAAGACTTTGGGGGACTGTTGGAAGGGCATGATTGTGTTTTGAGCTGTGAAGACTTGAGATTTGGGAGGGGGCCAGGGGCAGAATGGTATGGTTTGGCTATGTCCCCGCCCAAATCTCATCTTGAATTGTAGTTCCCATACTGCCCACATGTCTTGGGAGGGACCGGGTAGGAGGTAATTGAATCATGGAGGCAGTTACCCTCATGCTGTTCTCATGATGGTGAGTTCTCACAGGATCTGACTTTTTAAAGGGGTTTTATAAGGGGTTTCTCCCTGCTTTGCTCATAGTTCTTCCTGCAGCCATGTGAAGAAGGACATGTTTGCTTCCCCTTCTGCCATGAGTGTAAGTTTCCTGAGGCCTCCCCAGCCCTCAGGAACTGTGAGTCAATTAAACCTCTTTCCTTTATAAATTACCCAGTCTTGGGCAGTAATTTACAGCAGCATGAGAACAGACTAATACAGTCACAGATATGTATTATGAATGTTTTTTAGTCTATCTTTTTATTTTTCTAATGTATCTTTCTTTAGAGGAGCAAAAATGTTTAATTTTAATGAAGTCCAATTGATCAATTTTATCTTTTGGGGTTAGTGCTTTTTATGGCCTAAGAAATTATGAAGATATTTTCCTATTGTATTAGTCCATTCTCACATGCTAATAAAGACATACCTGAGACTGGGCAATTTATAAAGGAAAGAGGTTTAATTGATTCACAGTTCCACATGGCTGGGAAGGCCTCACAATCACGGCGGAACGCAAATCAGGAGCAAAGTCATGTCTTACATGGTGGCAGGCCAGAGTGCATGTGCAGGGGAACTTCTTTTTATAAAACTATCAGATCTTGTGAGACTTATTTACTATCATGTGAAGAGCATGGGAAAGACCCACCCCTACGATTCAATTACCTCTCACTGGGTCCCTCCCATGACATATGGAAATTATGGGAGCTACAGTTTAACATGAGATTTGGCTGGGGACACAGCCAAACCATATCACCTATATTTTCTTCCAAAAGCTTTAAGGTTTTAGCCTGTATGTCTAGGTCTATGGTACTTTATTTATTTATTTATTTATTTAAGACAGAGTCTTGCTCTGGCATCCAGGCTGGAGTGTAGTGTTGTGATTATAGCTCACTGTAGCCTCAAACTCTTGGGCTCAAGTGATCCTCCCACCTAAGCCTCCTAAGTAGCTAGTACTATAGGTGCATGCCACCGTACCTGGATAATTTTTAACTTTTTTGTAGGGATGGGATCTCACTGTATTGGCCAGCCTGGTCTTGAACTCCTGGCCTGAAGTGATCCTCCTGCCTTGGACTCCCAAAGTGCTGGGTTTACAGGGATTAGCCACTGCACCCAGGCTATGATACGTTTTGAAATAATTTTTATGTATGGTGTGAAGTAAAGGTCAAGGTTTATTTTTAGTTTGCAGAAAACAACTTTTATTTCCCCACTGAATTACCTCAGTACCTTTGTTGGAAATAAATTGACCATGCTTTTACATGTAAGTCTATTTCTAGACTCTTTGGTTCCACTGAACTATGTAACATAATGCTAATTCCACAGTGATTTGATGACTCTATTTTACACATCAGATAGTATAAGTTGTCCAACTTTGTTCTTCTCTTTGTTTTGGCTATTCTAGGACTTTTGGATTTCTGTATAATTTTAGAATAAGCTGGTCAATTTTGACAAAAAGCCCTGCTGGGATTTTTATTTGAATTACATTGAATGTATATATCAATTTAGCACGAATGGATAGTTTAACAATATATGGTATAACTCCATTTATTTAGGTCTTTATTTTTTACATACAATGTTTTGTAGTTTTCAGTATAAAAGTCTTGCATATCTTTTGTTAAAATACTTTATAAGTATTTTGTACTTTCTGAAGGCATTGTAAATGGCACTGCTTTTTATAGTTTTAATATTAAATGCTATATTTAATAATTGTTCCTGGTACATAGAAACATAATTGATTTTTGTATGTTGACTTTCTATCCCATGACCTTGGTAAATTTGCTTATAAGTTCTATTAGTTTTTTGGTTGTTTTTTTTTACAGATTCTTGGGATTTTCTACATATTCTCTCTTGTTTTCTGCACATAAACACAGTTTTATTTCTTGCTTTTGTTTTGTTTTGTTTTTGTTTTTGAGACTGAGTCTCGCTCTGTCACCCAGGGTAGAGGGCAGTGAATGGCGTGATCTCAGCTCACTGTAATCTCCACCTCCCAGGTTCAAGCAATTCTCCTGCCTCAGCTTCCTGAGTAGCTGGGATTACAGGCACCTGCCACCACTCATAGCTGATTTTTGTACTTTTAGTAGAAATAGGGTTTCACCATGTTGGCCAGGCTGGTCTCGGACTCCTGACCTCATGTGATCCACCTACGTTGGCCTCCCAAAATGCTGGGATTACAGGTGTGAGCCACCACGCTCAGCCCATTTCTTGCTTTATAGTCATTACTCCATGTATTGCTTTTTCTTGGTTTATCACATTGATGTAAACTTAAAAAGCAGTTATAAAGAATATGTCTTATATATAGTCCTTTTTCCCTTTCATATAGGTGTATTTTGGCCTCTGAAAACTTGAGTCTTCTCTGAAGTGTTATATGTTCCTCATCTTCATTCTCCAGAATTAGAGAAATACCTCTTCCCATTCTTCTAGTTTCTATAAGGAGGGATTTTCTCTAAACATTTCTGGCTAGTTGGATAGGTGGATGGAATTACCTGACTTGTGAGTTGGCTTAGAAACTGGGCATGTGTATCACAGCCCCCTCTCCCACTTAGAAGCTGGGCAGCCTGCAGAAAATGTGTGTTTGAGTGCCCTGAACCCTGTGGTAAGCTCAATGTTATAGGCTCTGTCCCTGTAGCAAGAGGTTGTGGTAGTTCAGCTATTTTTGGAATAGGTAGGTATATCTGATTACTTTGGGGTTCATTTAGTAGATTCTATAGGCCCTCATCCTAAGTAGCATACTATAACTTAACATTTTACAGCTCAGATCATATATTGGCTGTCATTTGTTCTAATCCTTGTTTTATGCCTCAGTTTGTTTCAAACTCAGATGAAAAAGAGGGGTGGCTTTATTGGAACAAGACACTCACAGTCAGTACTTCCCTATTTTATCGCCCAATATTGCCTAAGGCACCATTCTCTGTTTATCTAAAGACTTTTTCTCAATCATGGATGTACCTTAGGATCATTTGGGGGCTTTAAAAACATATCAAGGCCCAAGGCCCTAGCCTATCCCCAGTAAATTCAATCAAAATGTAGGGGTTAGGACCAGACATACCATAAAAAAAAAGTTGTCTAGATTCTAATGAACAGGGAGATCTGAGAACCACTCATCGAAACCATTTAAACTATTCTGCAGTGCTTCTGTCTCTACTTTAGATCCTTGAATAGTTTTTGGGTCACCCTAATTTCCAACACTAGGACATATGAAATACAGCCTTTTTACTAGTTAAGTAGAACATCCCTTTTCTTTTCTTTTTTTTTTTTTTTTTGAGACGGCATCTTGCTCTGTTGCCCAGTCTGGAGTGCAGTGGCGCAATCTCGGCTCACTGCAAACTCTGCCTCCCGGGTTCAACCCATTCTCCGGCCTCAGCCTCCCCAGTAGCTTGGACTACAGGTGCCCGCCACCATGCCCAGCTAATTTTTTGTATTTTTAGTAGAGATGGGGTTTCACCGTGTTAGCCAGGATGGTCTCTGTCTGCTGACCTCGTGATCCGCCCGCCTCGGCCTCCCAAAGTGCTGGGATTACAAGGTGTGAGCCACCGCGCCCAGCCCCTTTTCTTCTTATCTGATAATAAAGTCCACCACATTTCTATAGGTAAAGCTATAATCTGCATCTTCAGGACTGATAAGTATAATTAGTATGTGGGAGAATTAGAGCCACAGAGGGAATGTTGATACGGAAAGGTCATGATATTTCTGGATCAACCTGCCTTAGACCTGGATAAAAATCAGTGTTTATCATCCAGAGGAGAAAAATACCCTAATTGTTGATGGGCCTAACTGACAAAACACAATAGCGGGAGTAAAAATTGCTCAACTTGTATCATGTTTGACAGCTGAACACAGAAGCTATTCCAAAGTGGGCCTTAATGGAAATTACAGAAAGCTGTCAAGGACAAAGAGACAAGTGCCACATGCTAATGTCCAAAAACACATGCCCTAGTCCCACTGTGAGCCTCTACCAAGTGCTACTCTAATCCCTGAATTCCCTCCTACTTCATTGTCAAAGTTTCTGCACAAACATGCCAGTCGTTAACATTTAACAAGGCCCCAATTAAGAACCAACTGAGAAGTAAGGCAAAAGATAAGAAATCTGGAAACCAAAATATCATCTTATTCCTGGAGAAGCCAATACTGGAAAATGTGACTCAGATCTCTAGGCAAAGGGGCTTCTGTATTCTGAAGCTCAGAAACAGGCAGACTTACCTACCCAGTCATAAAAGGCTTCAGACCACCCCTGGCTTGACCCACAGAGCAGAATCTTTATCACTAAAGTCATGGCGTGGTCAGGAGTGATTCAGAACATGAGCTCTGCAGCTAGAGAAGAAGAGGAGAGGAAGTGACTGGCTGGCATGTGATGCTCTTTCTAAACCACTGAATCAGATTGTTACTTCTTGTGCTCTGGGATAGAGTTAGTGGGAGATGGGGAGAAGCAGGAGTCTTGTGGTAGTGGAGCTCTTTAGAAGAAAAATCTGGGACCTCTTAATGGTAAGAAAAAAAGTGAAAGTCACACAGTGTTTAAAAACAAAATATTGGTTGGGTGCGATAGCTCATGCCTGTAATCTCAGCACTTTGGGAGGCCAACACGGGCAGATCACCTGAGGTCAGGAGTTCAAAACCAGCCTGCCAACATGGCGAAACCCCGTCTCTACTAAAAATATAAAAATTAGCTGGGTGTGGTGGTGGGTGCCTGTAATCCCGGCTACTCGGGAGGCTGAGACAGGAGAATCGTTTGAACCCAGGAGGCAGAGGTTGCAGTGGGCCAAGATCATGCCACTGCACTCCAGCCTGGGTGACAGAGCAAGACTCCATCTCAAAAAACAAACAAACAAACAACAACAACAACAACAAAAATTAATTCCAACAGAAATAAGTTTAAAATTTAAGAAAAATACATTTTAAGTGATAGAAATAAAGGCTAAAATTAGTCATTACGTATACCTAAAGAGGAGAAAAAAATGGATAAAATCCCAATAAAATGACTTAAAATAAAAAATAACAGTAGATAAGCTATAAAAATAACATATAAAATTGAAATTTAGGTAGCTAGGTAAAAGAGAACAGAGGGAAAAAATGCTGGAATCAAACTTGGAATGATTATATAACCACAACAGCGAAAGGAAAATTCTAAATTCCTGGGGAAGAATTTGACTGGCCTTCTCTGGTTTGGCTGCATGTCCTTGGTCCAATTAGCTGTGGCCAGTGGGGTAGGGCCACAGTGTACAATGTGGCTGATAGTTTCCCTCTACAGTGGGTAAAGTAGAAGTTACATGCAGGACAGACACTATAAAAAGGTAAATATGACAGAGTGATAAAGTGGTACAGAAATAGCACGGCCTTCAGAGCACAGTTCTGATATTCATCAAGTTGCTTAACATCTCTAAGCCTCAATTTCTTCACCTGCAAATAAAAACATTACAACCTGACTTACAGTGTTAGTAGGAACATTAAACAAGAAAATGCATATAAAGTAAATAACACAGCTTCTCTGGGAATGTGCTGCCTCAGCCTCCCAAGTAGCTGGGAGTACAGGCGTGTGCCACCATGCCCGGCTAATTTTTGTATTTTTAGTAGAGATGGGGTTTCACCATCTTGGCCAGGCTGGTCTTGAACTCCTGACCTCACAATCCACCCGCCTCAGCCTCCCAAAGTGCTAGGATTACAGGCATAAGCCACCGTGCCTGGCCTGGTGCTCTCTTCTTAAGGAAGTGAACATAACAAATCCTTCCTTCAGGTGGAGTGGGAGATGAAAAGCGGCTCCTAAAAGGAACACTTCGGGCCTGAATCACTCCAAGTCCAAAGGTTCCCAGGGTTCCTTGGTCCCAGAGCAATCCCAGAAGTTAGAACAACTGTTGCTTGCACACCACCATGCCTGGCTAATTTTTAACTTTTTTGTAGGGATGGGATCTCACAATGTTGCCCAGCCTGGTCTCAAAGTCCTGGCCTCCCAAGGAGCCTTAACATCCCAGATATTTTATTCCTAGACCCCTGCCCTTGGCTTACCTCTGAAGCAGAGAGGAATCTTTATGTCAAAGGCCCAGTAATTCAGCATCTTAAAACACTAGACCCACTTCACTGTACTTGTCCTCAATCAGTCCCCTGACTCTATGCTCTGACATCTCTTTAATGGTCCTGCTTCTGCCCTCTGCAACTCACCTTGATGTTAATATTTGTCCCCGTTAGCTCGTCTCTTGTTGTTTCTCATATGAATAGGTTTTCATCCCCGCTTCCTGCTCTTTGCGCTTTCACCTGCGTCAAGTAGGATCACACTCTCCCTATCAGCCCCTTGAGCTGAACCCTGGTGTTGCTCATTGGTCAGATCTGTAGCTAGCCCTGCTCGGTGCCGTAGGGGGAGATTTGAATGAAACCCAGTTATACACTGGGGCCAGGCATAGTCTCATTAGGACAGACACTGGGTGAGTCTACTGGGACCCAATCTATTTGCCTCTATAGCAAAACAAGAGAGGAGAATTGAAGAAGAGGGTGCAAAGCTGAGGGATTAGATACCAATTTGAAGCTAAGCAGTGCCCACACTGAGGGTCAAACACATCCGGCAACATATGTAGATTTGGAAGATGTGCCTGTCAGGAGCCTATTTGGCCTGTAATCCCAGCACTTTGGGAGGCCGAGGTGGGCGGATCACCTGAGGTCAGGAGTTCGAGACCAGCCTGGCCAACATGGTGAAACCCCGTCTCCACTAAAAATACAAAAAATTAGCTGGGTGTGGTGGTGGGCACGTGTAATCCCAGCTACTCAGGTGGCTGAGGCAGGAGAATCACTTGAGCCCAGGAAGCGGAGGTTGCAGTGAGCCAAGACTGTGCCATTGCACTCCAGCCTGGGTGACAAGATCAAAACTCCATCTCAAAAAAAAAGCCTATTTGTTTGAGGGACAGGAACCTCAGAAGAAAAGAACATATCCTCAAGGAAGAGGAAGCCAGAGCGATAAGCTTGATGGAAGAATAGCTAATGGCTATTCATATTAGAACTGCAATACATTAATATCCCTACTTCTTTACCCTTTACCATGTAATGCTGAAAAACCCTCCCACTCCGATGCTGGGCCCAGCCTGCGAGATGGTAGCAGGCGCAGCCTGTGAGATGGTAGCAGGCCCAGCCTGTGAGATAGTCAACAGGGACTTGAGAAAGCATTTTGGCCTTTCCACCTGTGCTCCTGCAGCTCTGCCTTCGCCATGAAACCATGCCCAGGCTAGCCTGCTGGAGGGAGAATGTGGAGCAGAACTGAGTCAGCCCAGCCAACCTCCAGACCTGTGCAGCCCCAACCAACAGCCAACTATCCCCCAGTCCCGTGAGTGAGCCCAGCTGAGACCTGAAGAGCTACCCAGACTACATCACCAACTTGCAGACTTGTGAGCTGAGTAAATATGTATTATAGGTTAAGTCACTGATTTGGGGGGTGGCTTTTACACAGCATTATGTGGCAATACATAATTGAAACAGTAGCACGATCTTATGAGAGAAGGGTTAAGGTTTGGTGGTATCTACCTCCATATTCATTTTCTGGTCTAGCTTCTATCTGGACTCACACTTGAAACCTATATTGAGGACATTTTTAAGGCAGAACTGATAGAATTATTTGTTATTAGTCTGGGGGAAATAGCAGAGGATAAACAAACTTGCTTTAGGATCCCATCTCCAGGAAGCAATGCAGGCAGCAGGAGGGGCGTTCTGCACTTCCCAACAGAATATGGTGTCGCTTTGATGGTCAAAGTCTCCATTGCCTCGGGAGAAATGCCCTGTGGGCACCATCAGTCTGTGCCCAACAGAAGGGAGAGGAGGCCAGTAGGAGAGGCGATGCCAGAAGAAGTGATGTGCAAGGGTATAACGGAATTAGGAGTACTAGAGCCAGGTGAAGGGAAGACAGTGGCTACTGCCATGTTGCAACTGGCCCAATTTTTCCCTGAGCATGTGTGAGACACTATCTGGATGCAGACTCTGTAGAGACAACATCCTGCCCTATAGCTGAGGCCACAAGCCAGGGAAGAAACACTGTACATACAAACACTTCCATTTCAACTCACTGCCAGGTCATGATCCTTGCATCTCCTCCTTGGCAGCTATCTGTCAACAGACACAAGTCTCATTTCAATTCCATGTCAGTAATCCGATGTAAATTGCTGAACCTTTTTGTTGTTGTTATCATTAAAGTTGAATCTATAGCTCCCAATAAACTTCACTTACTATGTATTAACCAAACAAGACAGCTAAGCATATTATGGGCATTGAGAATAGTCTGCAGTTCTGATGCCCTTTGGTAAATTCCTAATGTGACATCTAGAGAATGAAAGCTGATGGAGGATGGAAAAGGGCTGCTTTGTGAATATACATGAACAGACACATTGTGGGATGTAGTAAAGCAGAAAAGCAAAGACTGTGGGCATGGGAGGGAGACTGGATTAGAATCCTAGCTCTGCCACTTGATTAACTGTATGACTGTGGACAAGTTACTCAGTGTTATGGCATCTCTGTTCCCTTATCTGAAAAACGGGCATAAGGTCTGCCTCAGAGGATCGTTAATGAGAATTAAATGGGTTTATTCAGGTAAAATGTTTGGAACAGCACCTGGCACATAGTAAGCACACAAGAGTTAGCCATTATTATTATCATTATTTGATTACAGACACTGAATGTAAAACTGTTCTGGAGAAGTGGTGTGTGTGTGTGTGTATAGCTGGCTGGAGGGAAAACATATTGTTGTGAATTTAGTGATGTACCGTGGAATCAGAAGACTGGGGAACCTGGCTTAGGTTACCTGATTTAGGTGATCAGTCTGGCTTCCGGGCATTTGTTACAAAAGTCAGTGATCAGCAGTGCCTTTCCAAGTGACTTGGGTGAACACTTAAGTGTGCAGTGAGGTACAGCAATCTGATTTCAAACTCTGCCTCTGCCACAACAGGGTTACGTCTTTTCATTGCACTTCACAGGTATAGTGATTTTTAGAAAGGTTTGTAAACTCTTCGAAGGTTTGCGGTAACCGTTTTTATCGGCGTTATTTTTTCAACAGCATGTGCTTTCTGTCTCTGTCACACTTTGGTAATTCTTACAATATATTAAACTTTTTCATTATCATATCGGTTATGTTAATCTGTGATCAGTGATCTTTGATGTTACTATTTTAACTGTTTTGGGGCACCACAAACAATGCCTATATAAGATGGTGAACCTGACTGATAAATGTTGTGTGTGTTTTGACTGCTCCACTGCCTGGCCATTCCCCCCTCAGGCTTCCCTATTTCCTGAGATACAACAATATTGAAATTAGGCCAATTAGTAACCCTACAATGGCCTCTAAGTGTTCAAGTGAAAGAAGAGTCACAGGTCTCTCACTTTAAATCAGAAGCTAGAAATGATTAAGCTTAGTGAGGGAGGCTTATTGAAAGCCAGGGTAGGCTGAAAGTTAGGCCTCTTGCCTCAGTTAGCTAAGTCGTGAATGCAAAGAAAAAGTCCTTGAAGGAAATTAAAAGTGCTGCTCCAGTGAATACATGAATGATAAGAAAGTGAAGCAGATTTCTTGCTGATATGAAGAAAGTTTGAGTGGTCTGATGATCAACCAGCTGCATTACCTGAAGCCAAAGCCTAATCCAGAGTTGAGAGAGGTGAGAAAGCTGCATTAAGAAAAGTCTGAGGCTAGCAGGGGTGGGTTCATGAGGTTTAAGAAGCCACCTCCATAACATAAATGTGCAAGGTGAAGCAGCAGGTGCTGATGGAGAAGTAAGTTATCCAGAAGATCTAGCTAAGATTATTGATGAAGCTGGCTAAACTAAACAACAGATTTTCAATGTAAACTATAGCCTTACATGGGAAGATGTCATCTGTGACTTTCCTAGTTAGAGAAGTCAATCTCTGGCTTCAATGCTTCAAAGGACAGATTAACCTGTTAGGCGTTAATACAACTAGTGACTTTAAATTGAAGCCAATGCGCACTGACCATTCCAAAAATTTTAGGGTCCTTAAGAATGATGCTAAATCTGCTCTGCTTGTGCTCTATAAATGGAACAAAGCCTGGATGACAGTATGTCTGTTTATAGCATGGCTTACTAAATATTTTAAGCCTACTGTTGAGATCTACCGTTCAGAGAAAAAGATTCCTTTCACAATATCTCTGCTAACAATGCACCTTGTCATCCAGGAGCTCTGATAGAGATATGCAAGGAGATGAATGTTGTTTTCATGCCTACTAACATAACATCCATTCTTCAGCCCATGGATCAAGAAGTAATTTCTATTTTCAAGTCTATTACTCAAGAAATACATCTTGTAAGGCTACAGCTACCATAACTAGTGATTCTATTGATGGATCTGGGCAAAGTAAAGTGAAAACCTTCTGGAAAGGACTCAGTATTCTAGATGCCTTTAAGAACATTTGTGATTCATGGGAGGAAGTCAAAATATCAACATTAACAGGAGTTTAGAATAAGTTGATTTCAACCCTCTTGGATGACTTTGAAGGGCTTAAGACTTCAGTGGAGAAAGTAATTGCAGATGTGGTGGAAATAACAGGAGAACTAGAATTAGAAGTGGAGACTGAAGATGTGACTGAATTCCTGCAATCTCGTAAAAAAGCTTGAATAGATGAGGAATTGCTTCTTACAGTTGAACAAAGAAAATGATTTCTTGAGATAGAATCTACTCTTGGTGAAGATGCTGTGAACATTATTGTAATGGCAACAAAGGATTTAGAATATTACATAAACTTGATAAAGCAGTGGTAGGATGAGAGGACTGACTCAAATTTTGAAAGAAGTTCTGTGTGTAAAATGCTATCAAGCAGCATTGCATGTGACAGAGAAATCTTTTGTGAAAGGAAGAGTCAACCCATACAGCAAACTTCAGTGTTGTCTTATTTTAAGAAATTGCCACAGACACCCCAACCTTCAGCAACCCCACCCTGATCAGTCAGTGGCTATCAATATCAAGAACTTCCAGCAGCAAAAATATTACCCCTTGCTGAAGGCTCAGATAATCATTAGCATTTTTTAGTAGTAAAGTATTTTAAATTAAGGTGTGTAGTTTGTTTTTTTAAGACATATGCTCCTACCCATTTAATAGACTACAGCATAGTGTAAACACAACTCTTCTTAAGTACCAGGGTACATGTGCAGGATGTGCAGGTTTGTTACATAGGTAAATGTGTGCCATTGTGATTTGCTGCACCTACCAACCCATCGCCTAGGTATTAAGCCCGACACGCATTAGCTATGTTCCTGATGCTCTCCCTCCTCCCCTCCCCCAGCAACAGGCCCCAGTGTGTGTTGTTCCCCTCCTCGTGTCTATGTGTAAGCACAACTTTTCTATACACTGGGAAACCCCCAGAATTTGTGTGACTTGTTTTATTGCAATATTTGCTTTATTGCAGTAAGTAGCCAGGAACAGAACCTGCAATATCTCTGAGGTGTGTCTGTATGTGGTCGTTTGATCCTAGGTAAGTCAGTCAATGAGGCTCCTTCTTTTCAAATGGGAAATAATACCTGCCCCTTCACATAATAGGATTGTAGACTCCAGTGGGCCAAAGCATGTAACTAGTGCGTACTGTAGGCAAGGCCAGGGGCTGGTTCACTGAGCCTAAGAGGATGTTATTGGGGACTCAATCAACTCTTGACCACACTACTTCCTGAGCACCCATAACACAACTTTCTGAAAAACCTATCCAAAATATGGCAGCAGCAGAAGCTTGATTTGGGGTCTTTTATAAATAAACTTGAAGGTAAGTAGAAGGGCTTTCCATCCCCCAGCTGGAAGGAGGATTCGTGTCATGTTTGAATCAGGTGGAAAGCGAAGGCTCCCATCAGGAGGCATCATCTAAGCATCTGCGCTGTGACACTTCGGTTGGCCATGGGGTGTGAGTTTGCAGCTGGAAGACTGTGCTTAAAAATCAACAATTCAACATTAAAAATAACCAAGGCCTTTTGCCAACACAGTGTGTCATGTTTATTGGGCTATTCACAGGTAAGCTTAAAATACAATGAAAAGAAAAGACCAGACGTCATCAGGAATGTCGAGAAACAAAATATTTAGCATTTCTTAGTTTCAAATGTTACCATTTCATTGCAGCTGAGGAATATAGGCCATTCGTTGACATAACTGCAATGGGTGAGACTTATTTTTAGCCACAGGAAGCAAATACATTTAACCAATGACTTTTAGGACAGGAAGCAAAAAAGAAAATATTTTCATGTAGCAAGGACAAGAAAATCATTTATACAAATTAAAGTGATATAAAATACATTATAAAGAGAGCACACATACAAAAGTCATTAAGTTGGTCAGAGAGCAAAGGATGTCACAGAACACCGCACTGAGAGCACACTGGTGTGAATTCATTTCAGTTACGAAAGTATGTCCAGAGTTTGTGTTACACATTTACTGAGGTAAAGGCACGATCACTTCCACGTAATTAATGGGGAAGAATCCCGATTCTCCGTGTATCATTCCTTCATACCAGTTTTCATCTATTTGATTGGTTAATGTAATGATGTCCCCTTCTTTAAATCCTAATTCTCCTTGGTTTTCTGGCTCAAAGTCATAGAGACCACGACAGCAGGGCTGGTCCATGGGAATGTTAGAACCTGTCCACATGATATGGAGACAAAAAGTACAGATGAACATGATGGATTATCCATGGGAAATTGGAAATGTGGAAAAGCTCAGAGAGACCCTTAACAGCAGGCCTTGCTTCCTTCCCACAAGGCCAGCTCCACCCAGCTCACGGTGCCGTTTGTGGTCTCTGGCTGCCTCAGCTCTCCCAGCTGCCTGCGCCAACCCCATGAGCCCAGAGTCTATCTTTTCAATACTCCCAGGCAGAGAAGTCGTGCCCAGCCCATCTCCCAAAAGCAGCCAGTCAGCTCCACCTGGAGCCCTAAGGGAGCGACAGAGGAATCACAGGCCCACCTCCTTCTCTCTGGGAGCTTACAGTTTCTTTGTGGGGATTAGAAAATACACGAGAAACTTTTATTTATTTATTTATCTATTTTTGAGACAGAGTCTTGCTCTGTTGCCCAGGCTGGAGTGCAATGGTGCGATCCTGGCTTACTGTAACCTCTGCCTCCCAGGTTCAAGAAATTTTCGTGCCTCAGCCTCCCAAGCAGCTGGGACTACAGGCATGCGCCACCACGCCCAGCTAATTTTGTATTTTTAGTACAGGTGGGGTTTCACCATATTGGCCAGTCTGGTCTCGAACTCCTGGCCTTAAGTGATCTGCTCACCTCAACCTCCCAAAGTGTGGGGATTACAGGCGTGATCCACTGTGCATGGCCAAAAATCTTTTAAAGAACAAATATGAAGTGTGTATCACTCATGGTTCAGGAGCTCTGGGGAGAGGGTAGTAGGGAGGACCTTGGTGGTCAGCAAGATCTTCCTAGTTAATGGGCAGGACAAGGGCCGGGAGGAGAGAAACCAGGACAAGAAAGGCAAGAATATTTACAGACCAGAATTTACAGACAAGAATATTTACTGACATCTAGTCCCAGAATAACATCAAAAACATTTTTTTCAAAACAAAATCATGCTAATTGTAAACAAAAAATACATGTATGCAAAGTGGAGAAAGAAAAGTCAGAGCTGTAAACCATTACCCCAGAGATAACTGGGCTAGCTTTCAGATTCCAGATGTCTTCATGATTATATTTGTGCATATATTTACATATAGTTGTTTTCATAAAAGATTCTTCTTGTACAAGCTAGGGTGAATATCTTTCAATTTTAGTTACTGACTAGCTGTCAGCTCTCACAATGTAACATTTCTTCAACTAATCTCCTATTGTTGGACATTTACGGTTCTTCTTTCTTTTCCTTCCTTCTCTTCTTTTCATCTCTTCTTTTCCTTCCTTCCTTCATTCTTTTCTTCCTTCTCCCTCCCTGTTTTTCTCGATTTCTCTTCCTTTTTCTTCATTTCTTTCTGTTGTCTCTTTTATTCCCCCTTGGCTTTTATAGACAATTCTTTGGGAAAAAGAGCTTATACATAAATATCTACAAATGTGCACTATTAATTTCTGAGGATAAATTCCAAGAAAAGGATTTCATGGTCATAGAACATGAATTCTTTCTAAAATATCTGACATTTAGTGTCAATTTATTTTTCTATTAGGTTGGTGCAAAAGCAATCACAGTGGCCAGGCGCAGTGGCTCACGCTTGTAATCCCAGCACTTTGGGAGGCTGAGGCGGGCGGATCACGAGTTCAGGAGATCGAGAACACAGTGAAACCCTGTCTCTACTAAAAATACAAAAAAATTAGCCGGGCGTGGTGGCGGGCACCTGTAGTCCCAGCTACTTGGAGAGGCTGAGGCAGGAGAATGGCGTGAACCCGGAAGGCGGAGGTTGCAGTGAGCCAAGATCGCGCCACCGCACTCCAGCCTGGGGGACAGAGCAAGACTCCATCTCAAAAAAAAAAAAAAAAAAAGCAATCACAATTTTTACCATTACTTTTAGTGGCAAAACCTGCAATTACTTTTGCACCAACCTAATATCACTATTTTTCTTAAGATGTTTAGAAGTCCCTTTATACTACACATATTTACCCTTTATCTGTCATTTCTGGTACAAACATTATTCCCAACTTATCATCTGTTCTTTTTTTTTCTCATTTTGTTTTTGAAGTTTGTGCTGGCAGTGGGGCAGGGAAAGGGGTTTCTATTTTGTTTTGGCATGAATGCACAAATTGAAGAGTATAAGCAGTCAAACTAATCAAACTTTCTATTCATGGTTTATTCTCCACAGTCCTATATAAAGACTCAACTAAATTTTATTCTAGTATTTTTATTTAATTTTTTTCACATCAGAACTTTTATAATCTATTTGGATTTTGGCAAAATGAGGTAAATATCTATTATATTTAATAATGCTTATGCAGTCATAACAACATACTTAAATAATCCATATTTTCTCCAGTGATTTCAAGTATTGCCTTTATCTTTATCATATATTTAATCATCATGGGACTTAGATCTATTTTTGGATTTTTTCTATTTTGTCCCACTGACTCATTTTGGTAACAGTACCATATCATTTTAAATACTGTGGCTTTATAATAAATGTTAACAGGCCGGGTGTGGTGGCTCACACCTGTAATCCCAGCACTCTGGGAGGCCAAGGCGGGCAGTTCACTTGAGGCCAGGAGTTTGAGACCACCCTGGCCAACATGGTGAAACCCCATCTCTAAAAATACAAAAGTTAGCCAGGCATGGTAGCGCATGTCTGTAATCCCAGCTACTCAAGAGGCTGAGGCAGGAGGATCACTTGAACCTGGGAGGCGGAGGTTGCAGTGAGCTGAGATCACACCACTACACTCCAGCCTGGGTGACAGAGTGAGACTCCATCTCAAAAATAAATAAATAAATAAAATGTTAATAACTAGTAAAACTAGTTCATAGTCATTACCCTTCTATTTCAATATTTCCTTGCTATTCTCATGAATTCATTTAACTAGGTATATTTCAGTATTAATATGACACATTTCTCTCACAAAAATCTCACTTCAATTTTGACTAGTTCATACTTTTTTTCTTTGAGTATTAATAAGATTAATCTTAGGAGTTTTTTTTTTTCTTAATAAGTGACTTTTGCCATCCTATTTGATGATTTCCATTTTTATTTCCTTTTTCTGTTATAAGACTTTTTCCTCCCTCTAGACTTCAAGTGAGAATTGAACAAGTTCTGCTAGAGATTATGTTCTTTCTCCACTAAGTCTTCTAGGTCCAAGTAAAGAGAATAGGTACGTTGGGGTATTTCTGTGGCTGGCCAAATGAGATGCCCCTTTGTCCTGGGGAGGGGTAGAGAGGTGACAGCATTATGGGAGGAGGAAGACAAGAGTTGGGGCAATGGAGATTCCTGTTGTGAGAAGGATTATATTATAGTTGTTTAGACAGCTTGAAATTCATGGAGTAGCGCCTATATCTCTAAGGAACAGGGCACTCTAAGGAGCCTTCATCAGCGGAGCTCCCCAGGTTGTACCAAGGTGGCTTCCTGTTGCCTTCCTATGGCAGTGGTTCTCAACTTGGTGGCACACTAAACAGCCCACTGCCCAGGGTGAACCCGGCATCAGTATTTTTTGTTTCTCAGGTCCTTCCTATGTCCAGGGTAGGTTGACAACCACCAGTGAAATGATCCTCCCCTCTCCTTCCCCTAAGGAAGCGTTAAAGGTTAAAGAGACTCAGCTGGCGAGGAAAGAGAAGGGGGTAATGGTAGGGGAGCTCTTCTTCCTCTTCAGGGAGGCAGCTCCTGTACTGGGTCGTGACTTTGAAACTCTGAACCCACCTGCAATATAACCTCTATGATCTACATGATGTTTCTAGCCTCTAGACAGCTCCTTCCGTGACAGACCCCACCCCTGCCTAAGTCTGTGTATTCCTCTTGTCATAATGATGAAAGCTAGGGGGTGGAAGGCTGTAAATATTGGGGATTAGTTCACTATTTTGAATTTGAACAGAACAACATTCAATGATTTCAAACAAAGCATGGGGAATAGAGGGCTTACAATACAGAACTTTTCATTTTCCTTGGGTCATGGAGTGTGTATATGGGTGGGCAGGTGGGGGCTGAGCACTGAAAACCAAGGGCAACCTGAGCTGTGAGTCAAAGTCTACTTTATTAATGTATAACTGTTTTAATGTGGATTATAAAAATAATTATTATTCTTTTAGCATTTCTCCCACTACTAGACTAGTTTTTAACAGAGAAGGGGTCAGGTGCCAAACCACATGGTAGTCTCGGGAAGCATTTCCTTGAACACAGAATGTTAATGCTAGAATGGAATTTGGCAGTCCTCCATGAGTCCTCTCCTTTTCCAAGAGAAGCCATCAATGCCTCTGAGAGGTCATAATGGCCTGGCCCCAGGGCTACTGGCTGAGCCAGAAACAGGAGGGCTCCAGACCCTAGGCCATCAGCTACCTTGCTCCATGTCACCTCGTACATGATCTATGACACCACTAAGGGTTGCCAAGACATTTCATAGGCTGACACACTGATTACAGGGCTAATGATAGATAGATAGATAGATAGATAGATAGATAGATAGATAGATAGATAGATAGATTTATATATTTCCCTCCCATTTACTCTATAAGCCACCTGCAATGACCAAAATGCTTAGTGGCAAGCATACATTTGTCCAAGTGTATGCACCACCTCCATGTGTAAACCAGGCCACCACCTCCATGTGTAAACCTGGGTTCTTGCTGCACACACACACAGAACAAATCATGGAAAAGCTGCATTACTCACTTCTCATGTCATTCATTCTTGGCAAGGAACCACTGCCACATTGCCCACTTTGATATTCTGAGAGCTGGAAAGAGACCAGCACTCATATCACACTCCATCAGCACCTAAACCCAAGGCAGGGCATCTCTCCAGAGACCACTGAGTAGAAAGACCCTGTTCAAGAACTCCCTGACTCAGGCAGTACAAGTGCACCTGGCCCTCCAGCCACCACTGGGCTGGCTACAACACTAAGAGCAATTGGCACTTGCTAAGTAGGCAGTTGGTAAATCCACCCCAACCAGAGCTCAGACTGGCTGCCCTGAATTATACATGCAGCCGGACGATATTCTGAAGTATCAATGCATTTTTCATTCTGGGTCATTTCTGTTGCCTGGGGCCCTCAACCCAAGGAGCTGGGGCTTGCCTCCCTTACTTGAGGAGGAGGGTGGAACCCAGACATGAACAAAGCAGTCAATGTTTAGCTTTTAAATTCCCAAATAATACCATTTCAGTTGTGAAACATTGTGAAAGCCAAGGCTTTTAGGCTTTCATGCTAGAGCCAGGTAGGCTTTTATAAGATTTAAGAGCGAGAGAGAGAGAGAAACTTCTGGGTTCCAAGAACTAGAGCTTGAAGAACTCAGAGCCTAGCATTTTGATTACAAGCCATGGAGAGGGAGGAGCTGTTTCCTGCCATCCAGAGAAGAGATACAAGCTCTTTCTGGAGGCAGGGAAGCAGGGAAGGGGCCTGCAGTGAGAAGAGGGTGAGCAAGAAAATTGAAATGCTCCTTGGATGCCACCCTGGGGAAGGGGGTCTTAGACTCCACTTTCCACAGAAATCCCGGGAGAAGGCAGCTGTCAAAGTTCTCTGGACTAACACGGGGGCTGGAGCCCAGTGGAAACCATGTGGTGTCACTAAGTACAGATGGGGCCTGAAGGCTGGTCGCTCCCTGTGAACTGTGAACAAATTCCCTCAAGTCCCCAGCAGGAAGTGCTGAGGGGCCACTGAGGCCAGAGGCTGCCTGGGGGCAGTGACACACGGCTCCAAATACAGAGATTCAGCAACCCAGAGAGGGAGGCCTAAGCCACAGATGTCAGCACAGATCCTGGCCCAGGCCCCAGGCCTCCTGTGACGAGTCACCTCAGCTGTGGAAGTGAGCCTCCCTACCTGCCACCATGATGTTCTGTAAACCCCCCTCACATCTAGGCAACATCTTAGGACTGGACCAGGGGGAGGAGAGAACCTTCAAGAAAAACCAACAGCCCTGATAGGGAATTTCTACTCTGAATTGACTGTGTTTAAATCTGGAATCGCCTAAGTCATAAACGGATAGTCTATGCTTTCTATTGGAAGAGACTGAGCTACCTTGAAATGGCAAGATTATGCTTTTTTCCACCATTAGAAGAAATGGAAAAAAGATTTTAAAGCTTTTTTTTTTTTTTGGTCAACAACAGAAATGGAAAAAAGATTAAGTTGTTTCCGCCATTGGTCTACATAGAGGCTTGCAAGCAAGTTCAGTTCAGCTAAAGAGAAATTAAGTTGCTGCCCGCCTGAGGGACAGTGTGTGAATTTTCCCTTGACACAAAAGTCACCATGGATGGAGCCCCAAAGTCCAGGCAGAATGGGCTGGATTTCCTCAATGGAGGCTTTCCAACTGTTAGATATAAGCCTCTCCAAGGGACCTGAATGCTTGGTTTCCCACCATCAGAAGCCAGCACCTCAGCTGAAAACGTCTCGTAAGAAAAGACTGATCCTACCCAGCGTCCCATCCCTGTTGACAACCCCTTCCCCTTGCCCCTGTGGTCCTGCAGCTGGCAGTTCCTCATCCACCTCCACCTCCTTGCTCTCTCACATTCAGTAGCTGGCACCTGGAATCGCTGGGCATAGTTGTGTAGGAGCTCCCAGGTGGCTGCTGTGGATCTCGGTGTCCTTGAACAGGCGGCTGAAACCCCTGACCCTGGGCTGTCCAGTGAGACGGCTTCAGCCAGCACTGCCCTCCCCAAGTGGCCTTGTGTTGATTTTCTCTTACTCCTGAGACCTGGCTTCAACGAAACGTGAGAGCAGAGGTGGGAAAACACAGTCTTCCTTGTTAAAGTATTGAAACAAAGATTATTTTAACAGAGAAAAGGGAGTGTCCCTGTTAAATATTTATTATTCAAGCTCTGTTCCACACCATTAGGAAAAAGAGAAAGAGAGAGAGAGAGAGAGAGACCCTACCACAAGAGTTTAAGACGGCTGGTCAGTAAGTACTGTATCAGTAACACAGTAGGAGGTAGGAAAACCACGTCCCCCCTGAAATAAACTGAACTTCCCCCTTGGCATTAATATGGTTCAGTCCCTCTTATTTTAACAGCAGGAACATTATTTGCGGTGCCCCTCCCCCAACTCCACTTATTTTGTCTCTATATATATATATAGACACACACACATACATTTATACACACACACATACATATTATATATATATATATATATTTTTTGGCTGAAGTCCCTGCTGCTGCAAAGGGTTACTTGCATATGCAGAAATGCTGAGCACATTTTATTAAGGTAGAGGCGGTCCAATCCTACAATTCCTCAGCCCTACTCAGCTACAGGGACGAAATAATAACTCTCAGGTGTTAGTGTTTACCATGTGCCAGGACAATATTTTAAGTGTCTCAGAGATATTAGTGGATTTATGGATTTAATTCCCAGAGAAATCCTATGAGTAGGTACCACTATTTCCCCCAATGTGAGGGATGGAGAAATTGAGGACACAAATTTAACACAATTAAGCCACAACACTGAGACTTGACCTCGGGCCAGGTAGAGAGTCCACGTTCTTGATCCCTATGCAATATACCCCCTGAAAATTGTTAGTTTGTGGTCTTATCCCCACTCTTTTTCTTTTTCTTTCTTTTCTCTTTTCCTTTTCCTTTTTTCTTTTTTGAGACTGTCTTGCTCTGTTCCTCGAGCTGCAGTACAGTGCCCTGCTATTGGCCTGCAGCCTTGACCTCCTGGGCTCAAGCAATCCTTCCACCTTAGCCTCCTGAGTACCTGGGACTACAGGCACCATCATGCCCGGATAATTTTGGTATTTTCTATAGAGGTGGGGTCTCACTATGTTGCCCAGGCTGGTCTCAAACTTCAGGGCTTAAGTGATCCTCCTGCTTTGGCCTCTCAAAGTGATGGAATTACAGGCATGAGCTACCACGCCCAGCCTTCTCCCACACCATTTCTGAGCCAATCCCATTCAATGGGGTGGCCCATCAGCTGGGCTTGGAATGAGCCTTTGGGTCCTCAGCTCAGCATACCTCAGGATGCTCCCAGGCCTTTGAAGGCTCTCTAAGAGCATTCTCTACCTAAATCCTACGCAGATCCCCAGGAAGGTCTGTCCAGGTCCCACCTAGCCTTGCCTGTCGCACTTGAGGGATAACTTCCAGGCACTTAGTCTCTGTCCTGCCTTCTTCAGCCTGAGTTCCAGCTTCAAAGTGAGCAGCTCAGGCTTCAGTTAAAAACAGTGCCCACTCCAGGTGGTGGATTAGACACCAGAGTAGAGATGGCATCAGAAGGGACTGGCGTGTCTGCAGCCTGGCCTTCTCATTTTCTCTCTCTCTCTCTCCCACATGCCAGGATCTGGAAGCCTGTTCTCCAGGGCTCCATCTCTAACCCTGACTTTAAGGGAGGTGAAGGTGGAAAGAGTGGTCAGTGGCGCAAGGGGCATCCTTCTCTCTGTTGCACTAAAACTCACAGCTCTTTTGTGGAACTTGGGTTCTTTTCAGACCACCGAAGGAGCCCACTGTGCTTGCTCCTTTGCTGGCCTTGACTTTGGGAACTTCATGACCTGGAAGCATTCGGTCAGAGCATCCCCACTGAAAGGCAAACTATGACCCCACCCCCATAGTTATTTCAAGGGGCAAAGGGGATGGAGAGAGAAGTAATTCATACAACGCTGTCAACATAAGTCCCTGTTGGGGTACAAGGTATGGAGTCTCCCAGAAGCTACTGACCTGAGTAGGGCTCTTTGTC
Organism: Homo sapiens; assembly: GCF_000001405.40. Lineage (NCBI taxonomy): Eukaryota > Metazoa > Chordata > Mammalia > Primates > Hominidae > Homo > Homo sapiens. The sequence goes on along the minus strand of NW_025791797.1, from coordinate 215,241 downwards.
TTTTAGTAAATCCCCCAGACTGCTGTGTCTTTTGAGTGTTTTTGTTCCTGCTTTTTATAGTTTTTCTCTTGCCTCCCTTGTAGTCTGGCTGCGACCTGTCACTTTTTCCTGCTGTCAATGGCCTTCCCGAAGCAGTCCCTTGGGCCTTCCTAATCTGCTGGTTCCAGTCTGCTGTAGGCTGGGAAATCAGATAACCGATTATGTAACATTAACAGCGCTGCATTGTGGGCTCCTACTCTGTACCGAGTCCCTTTCCCAGCACCCCTAATTCACAAGATCTAATTTAATCCTTAGAATAATCCTGTGAGGTAGCAATGAGAATCCGCACTCGTCAGATGACGAAATTGAGACCCAAAGGTATGAACTGAGCCAGGATCTGGGCTTCCCTCTGACTCCAAAGCCCACTTTCCAGCAAGGCAGGTTAACACCCCTTTGGGCTGGGTGGGCTTATATTCCGCTCACTTCCTGGCCTGAAGTCAGGAAATCCAAACATGTTCCCTTATTACTTACACCACTTGTAGAGCAGCTGATGAACAGAGAGGAAGGTAACCATTGATGAGGGGAGTCCATGCCCCAGTCAGGAATGGGACCCCAAGTCTCCTAGAAGCTTCGATCCCAGAACCCAGGTTACCCTGAGGTTTGACTGTACCTGCACCATCAGACTAGACAGTTCATCTCCTACCATGGGCGGGCGGGGGGAGTGGGGGGCGGGTAGAAACCCAATTTGGAACTTTCAGGTTTATTTCTGGTTCCAATTCATTTTCAAACTCTCACCGAGTGTTTGAAAGCATGGAGCCAGGAGCATGGAGCCAGGCACCGTGCTCAATCTGTGAGATACCATCTCCTCTGAGTTCAAACAAGCATATCTGGTTTAAACTCCCTTCAAAAGTTTCTTTTTTCCCATTTATAATCTCAAATTCTTATAGCAGAATTCATTTGAAGCACATACTTTCTCTCTATCTGACCCAGATACAACACTGGTGTCTAATGCTGATAGATACCACAGACACTATCTAGTTCAACATCTCTAACATATTGTTTTTGTCCATGGGTAAGAGCGCACTGGACAGAAGCTTCAGATCCCTGCATCTTTGCTATGGATTAGGTCATCTTTGGGTCCTGATTTCCTTATCTGGAAATTTGAAGTGTTGGTCTATGAGGGTTAAGTTGTGCACTACTAAGTAAAATCTAGTAAAAGTCAATGAACTGCTGTCTTTCTAGAAATAACAGCCCTGTATTTATCCACAGGAGATGTGATTTATTGAAATTACTTGTCAATGGAACTCAAGCTTAATCATTGAAATCTGTAAAAATAAGCATGTGTGATTTATGTTAACCTTAATGCCAATCTTCCTCAATTTACTCGGGTTATATTAGATGGGTTTAACTAATAAAGTTTTGCCCTCCCCCACCTTACAAAACAATGACTTGTCTATTGTGATGACTTTTGCAGATACCTCAAAACCTGCGGGCCATTTATTTATCAAAATAAACTTTCTGGCAGGTGACCCCTCTATTGCAACCAGGTCCAATGTGTGTGGGTTGTTTTTTTTGTTGTTGTTGTTTGTATTATTATTATTATTATTATTATTATTATTATTATTATTTGCCACTCTGAGTTCTGGAAAATGGAAATGCAAACAGCTGCCTTAATTAGAGTTGGCTTTCTGGCCATTGGCATAGTGATCAGCTTGCAGATGATACCTCGTCTGGCCTGCTCCTTGCTTTTTTACAATGTGGATTAGTTGCCAACATCTAAAAGTCAGGAGATGTCACATAAACATAGGGTTTCTGGCTTCTCTTGAAAAATCAGAAAGGCTAGCTATGATGGGCTCACATTCTCAGGCAAGGGGCGCTTGCCGTAGACTATCGGCCACCCCCTTCAGAAAGAACAAGTGTTTTCTAGTTGTTGAAGACACACCTCCCTCTGTCATGATCCTGACTTGGAAGCTTAGAGTCAGCCATTTATCACCAGCCTTGCACTATTTTCTTACACTTTTCCTATGTCTCTCATTCCTAAAATCTGGCATTCAAGTTTGCACTTGCAGCCACATCCACTGGACAACTCTAGGGGCTGTCATTCATATGGACTCAGAGTCCTCTGGATGGTGCAACATCACTGTTGCCTGGTTTGTAATCCCAGGAAACAACTGACTTCTACCGTATTTTTTAAAACAAGTACATAAATTAATATTTAGATGATGGTATTTTACATTTTAGCTTATGGATCAAATGTATCATTATAGAGTATATGTTAAGATTTGAAAATATGCAGCACTTGAGATCATTTCAGCAAAGTCAAAATTCCCACAACTAAGTTAGAATTTATGTCTTACGGCTTTTCAAAACTCTTTTTACAGACTGTTCAGAATAATTACAGAAAACCATTCCCTGCAGTGAGGAAAACTTCCCTCTCTAAATCTTCCTTCAAATTGGAAAATAAGAGAGAGACTCTTCCTGTTCACCGCACCAATGGCTACTGATCAACAATAATAATCATATTTCACACTTTAATTTTTAAAACATTTTTTAAAATATAGAAAATATTTAAATGTTCAACCTGTCCACATTTCAAATTATTAAGAATGCTAAGTACTCACAAAAGACAACTACTACAGCCACAGAATTTAGAGCTAGAAAGTACCTTGGAATGTATTAAGTCCAATCACTTCCTCTAGGAACAAGTTCAAATCGGTCTAGAGGTGCTAAGAAACTCACCCCAACTCATACAACTAAGAAGTTCCAGAATCTGAACTATAACATGGGACTCTTGTTTCCTTATTTATTTCTCTCTTGTCAATAACTCTGACTCTGAAGCACTACTTATAATATATAGAAATGGATCTGGGGGGAAGGCTATTAGTGGAGAAGGGGAATAGAAGAAAAGAGGAGGAAGGAAAGAAGAGAAATGTAAGAAACAACCTGCTGACCGAACAATCACCATTGTCACTGTTCTGTGAAATTTTAATTTCCTCTTCGGAAATGTAGGTTAAAAAAATTGCATATATTTCTATTTGCAAAGTGTTCATCTTTAATTTTCAAACTTCACATTTCACTTTTGAATAAATGTTTATTTTCTAATGTAATCCTAGACATTTTGTGCCAATGAGGGGAAGGATTTAGGCTCTAGAAATTATTTCCAAGCTGCCTTAGAAGTGTGAAGAAATTTATAAAAGTCTCTTTTATACCTAGAGAATTAGAAGGTCTTAATACAAGCCATTTGGGAGATTTATTTCAACTCACTCTGATGTGCCTGTAGCACACATTTGGAATACATATTTGTTAACTAATTTCAGCCTCCTATATGTTTAAAGCAGGTCCCAGTTTGGGGCATATTAACCCTTAGTTGTGATTACACAAAGTGGTACCCCTTTTAAGAGTTTCAGCAAGAAAAAAAAAAACTTCATAAAAAATGAGTTGATAAAATACACTTTGTCCTCTAGTCTTTAAATATATAATTCAGGAGGTGACAACCTGGGACCTGATACAAATTCCCCACAAGTGGGGAAGATACTTGAGCATGGGTCACAAATTCCTACACTATTTTCTTCAACATCAGTGGTTTTCTGGGAGCTACACAGGCACATGTTTCAACTCAAGGATGTTTCCTGGCCTCCTTTTCTCTTTGGGGACAGAGGGGCAGCTTACACTGATGAAACAGCATGACCCCACACTCGCGGGCTTGGACAGGCACTCGTTTCTCCCAGCCAGGACCTAGAGTTGGATTTTGTCTGCAATCTGTCATTTCAAGATGTGATTCTCCCCTTTCTCCATTTTGGCTCACTTTATTCATTCTCTTAACTACCTAGCAATGATATTATCAAAGATTCCATCTCAGTCCCACGATGCATTCTGCTTAATTGACTTATGTTCTTTCATCTCTCTCTTTTTTTCTTTAGAAAGAAGAAATGATGAAGAAAATGTTCTTGGAATTCATTTCTGGCAGAGTCTCATGAGCTTTGCTTTCATTTGTTAGTGAAATGCTTGACATTTTTCCTTCACTTTATAAACATTATGTGCAAATCATTCAGAATCCTAATGGAAAGTAATTTCCCATTAATGCAGGCTATAAATGTCATTTTCTTTTGAAACTGTGCCTCAGAAACAAACAGTACAGGACCCCCTTTACACTGGCAAATTCCACCCACAAATCAAGGAAGCCCAATGCTGGGTGTGTGAGACGGGAACTTGAAGCTACTACCGAGGGAAACTTAGAAGAAGCAGCCTGGGACAGGCACAGGCAAAAGACACACAGTGGCACACAGTAGAGTTTGCTGCAGTGGAGAATATGGGACACTGAGCCTTCTTAAAAGCCAGCTTCTGCACGTCTGTGATCTCTGTACATCGCCCTTCTAGGAACTTAATCTGTCTAGGGACCCAGCTACTGGCCAAGAAAGAGGGGACAAAGCACTGACATGCGTGGCCTCAATGAGGAAGCCAAAGACCTCACTGTCCTCTGTTTTTCCCTTCCAAGTCAGATGCATTTAGTGGGCTCCCTGTGCAACCACCTGCTGACCACAGATTCCCTGTAATCATGAATCTTGGAAATAAATCATTCCCAATGCTCTTGGCCATTTCATAACATTCCCCTAGTATTCCTTCTTAATGATATAACATGAAATATCTATAAGGTAAAGTACCCAGCTCTGCTACTTCCTGGCTCTGTGATCTTGAGAAGATCTCACTTAACCTCTCAGAGCCTCTACTTACTCATCTGTAAAATGGGGACTAAAAATAGTACTAGAGATGTATACAAAGTATTTATACAATATCTAACCCATAGTAAGTAGCCAATAAGTGTAGTTGCTATTGTCATTATCTTATTATGTGTTACTTTTTTTTATTATCACTTCCTTGGAGTACGGTTATGAGGATGAAATGAGTTATGTCTATGTCTACAAAGCACCAAATAATAACTCCTGGCATACTGTTGGCCCTCAAAGGCTAGGTCCCTATGACCTTAAGGGATACTTTAATTCAAATACCTTTTCATTTTTATAAGGCTTAACACTCTCTACACTGCCAGTCTGTGAGCTCAAATCAAAGGAAAGTTGAGTTCTCTTTGGTGGCAAATGAGAGAATGGTGTCTTGGGAGCTTGACCTGAGGTCCTGTCTCTAAGAACTACTCGGGTGCAAGCTGGAAAGATAGAGACAGTGGGGCAAGGACTGAGCCCTGGGGTCCTGGGTTCTCATTTCCTCAAATATAATATACTGGCATTGAAGGAGGGAGGCTGAGGTTGAACTCACTGTCAAAATTTTTAGTTAATTTGCTTATACCTAGCTTCTTTTTTTTTTTCTTTTTAGACAGAGTTTCACTCTTGTTGCCCAGCCTGGAGTGCAATGGTGCGATCTCGGCTCACCACAACCTCACCGCAACCTCTGCCTCCCGGGTTTCAAGGGATTCTCCTGCCTCAGCCTCCCAAGTAGCTAGGATTACAGGCATGCGCCACCATGCCCAGCTAATTTTGTATTTTTAGTAGAGATGGGGTTTCTCCATGTTGGTCAGGCTGGTCTCAAACTCCTGAACTCAGGTGATCCACCCGCCTCGGCCTCCCAAAGTGCTGGGATTACAGGCGTAAGCCACCGCACCGGGCTGAAACCCAGTGACCTGTTAGATTATGGCAAAACATTTGAAAAACTTTTTGCCTATAATAACTCTTAAAGCAGACCATATACCAGTAGCTCTAAAGAAAGAAGGTGAATAAAGCCAGAAGGTTGGATGTTAGCTAAACCTTGGTGTGTGTAGCAAGTTACTATAAGAAAGACAAAAGTTGCCCAGTCTACAAGCAAAGATAAAAGAAAGAGCAGAGGTTGGTTCCTAATGCATTGGAAAAGCAAACTGTTTCTGTACCCCAAAGAAAACAAGATAAGCAGATTGCTCTTCCAAATCATTCTCAGAGACCTCCCTAAACTAAAGGAACTCAGCTGTGTGGCAAAGACGCAACGAAAGGTGTCACCTTCCTACTCAAATCTGCTGTTTCAGGTGGTCTCAAGGTAGCCTCTGTAAGTTAAGAAAGCGAAGCATGGGTAAGACAAGGAAGGAAAGAAATGAAAGTCTTAAGAGCTATATCTAAGAAAGAACTTTGAATGTGTTTACAGGCACATGGAACTGCCTGGAGGTATATAGATCAGAAGCTCATTACGTTTTTTAAGAAATCAAGTTGTGGCCAGTGTGGTGACAGCAGTTTGGGAGGCTGAGGCAGGTGGATCACTCAAGGTCAGGAGTTCAAGACCAGCCTGGCCAACATGGTGAAGCCCCATCTCTACTAAAAATACAAAAATTGGCCAGGCGTGGTGGTGCATGCCTATAATCTCAGCTACTTAGGAGAGTGAGGCACAAGAATTGCTTGAACCTGGGAAGCGGAGGTTGCAGTGGGCCGAGATCCCACCACTGCACTCCAGCCTGGGCAACAGGGCAAGACTATCTCAAAAAAAAAAGGAAATCAAGTTGTGAAAAGAAGCATAAGCCTAGCCTGAAGACATCTGTGTCTACTAAACTGTAAGGAACCCACAAGGTCCCTGAGCAGCAATAAGTACAGATGTCAAAGAAGGTAGCCCTCCAAAGCCCACTTACAATGTGGTCTTGGAAGACACATTTCTCAGAGAGCAAATCTAGGAGCCCACAGAATAAAAGACAAAAGAGTCTCCCTGATCCAAAATCCAGAGAGCAGAACCAGGGTCTAATCAAGACACTTTCTTCACTGCCAGGGTAGGGGGTCCTTGAAATTTCTGCCCAGCAGGAGTCCATCATTGTTATGGACTGGTACATGCAGTGTATTTCCTATTTGCTATGGCCTGAATGTGTGTGTTCCCCCAAAACTCATCTGTTGAAACTTAATCTCCAATGCAATAGTATTAAGGGCTGGGACCTTTAGGAGGTGATTAGGTCATGAGAATTAGTGACTTGGGGGTAATTAGGTCATGAGTAGGATTTGTGCCCTTATAAAAGGGACCTGTGGGAGCTTGTTTGCCCCTTCTGCCATGTGAGGACACAGCTAGAAGGTGTCATCTATGAGGAATGGCCTCTACCAGGCACCAGTTCTGCTGGCACCTTGATTTTAGACATCTCAGCCTCCAGACTGTAAGTAAAAGCTACCCAGTCTAAGGTATTTTGTTACAGCAGCCCAAACAAACTAAGATGCCATTACAACTGGATAGCAGCTGCCTAGCTAGAGGTTGTACTTCCCAAGTTGCTTTGCTACTAGGTGTGGCTGTTTGAGCGCTCATCCCTGGAATGTGTGTGTCATTTCCACCTTGCGGGTGTAAGAGGAAATATCTAACCTAAATGTTTGTTCTTTCTCCCCTTCCTGCTGGCTGGAGTGGCAACAACTAGGAAGCCATATGATGAAGATGGCAGAGCTGCCATCAGCCTAGACCCCTGAGAGACTCTATGCATTAGAACCACCTATCTTCTTGGAATATTCTCCCTGGACTGTGGCAGGAGTGAGGAAATCCTATTTTACTGCATTTCGGTTTTATGTTTTGTTTTTTTTTTTTTTGAGACACAAACTAGTGTTAGCATAATACAATATAAAAAGTCTTCAGAGAAACCCTGAACAGACCAATAACAAGCAGCAAGACTGAAATGGTAATTTTAAAATTACCAAAAAAAAAAAAGTCCAGGACCACATGGATTCACAGCTGAATTCTATCAGACATTCAAAGAAGAATCGGTACCAATCCTATTGACACTATTCTACAAGATACAGAAAGAGGGAATCCTCCCTAAATCATTCTATGAAGTCAGTATCACCTTAATACCAAAACCAGGAAGGGACATAGAAAAAAAAGAAAACTACAGACCAATATCCCTGATGAACATAGATGCAAAAATCCTTGACAATATACTAGCTAAATGAATCCAATAGCATATCAAAAAGATAATCCACCACAATCAAGTGGGTTTTATACCAGGGATGCAGGGATGGTTTAACATACGCAAGTCAATATATGTGATACACCACATAAACAGAATTAAAAACAAAAATTACACGATCATCTCAATAGACACAGAAAAAGCATTTGCAGAATCCAGCATCCCTTCGTGATTAAAACCCTCAGCAAAATCGGCATACAAGGGACATACCTCAATGTAATAAAAACCATCTATGAAAAACCCACAGCCAACATAATACTGAATCGACAAAAGTTGAAAGCATTTCCGCTGAGAACTGGAACAAGACAAGGATGCCCACTCTCACCACTTCTATTCAATATAGTACTGGAAGTTCTAGCCAAAGCAATCAGACAAGAGAAAGAAATAAAGGGCATCCAAATCGGTATAGAGGAAGTCAAACTGTCACTGTTTGCTGATGATATAATTGTATACCTAGAAAACCCTAGAACCCTAAAGACTCCTCCAAAAAGCTCCTAGAACTGATAAATGAATTCAGCAAAGTTTCAGGATACAAAATTAATGTACATAAATCAGTAGCTCTGCTATATACCAACAGAGACCAAGCTGAGAATCAAATCAAGAACTCAACCCCTTTTATAATAGCTGCAAAACAAAAACTTAGAAATATACCTAACCAAAAAGGTAAAAGACCTCTACAAGGAAAACTACAAAATACTGCTGAAAGAAATCACAGATGTCACAAACAAATGGAAACACATCCCATGCTCTTGGATGGGCAGAATCAATATTGTGAAGATAACCATACTGCCAAAAGCAGTCTACAAATTCAGTGCAATTCCCATCATCAAAATACCACCATCATTCTTCACAAAACTAGAAAAAACAATCCTAAAATTCATATGAAACCAAAAAAGAGCCCACATAGCCAAAGCAAAACTAACCAAAAAGAACAAATCTGGAGGCATCACATTACCTGATTTCAAACTATACTATAAGGCCACAGTCACCAAAACAGCATGGTACTGTTATAAAAATAGGCACATAGACCAATGGAACAGAACAGAGAACCCAGAAATAAAGCCAAATACGTACAGCCAACTGATCTTCGACAAAGCAAACGAAAGCATAAAGTGGGGAAAGGACACCCTATTCAACAAATGGTGTTGGGATAATTGGCAAGCTATGTGTAGGAGAATGAAACTGGATCCTCATCTCTCACCTTATACAAAAATCAACTCAACGTGGATCAAGGACTTAAATCTAAGACCTGAAACTATAAAAATTCTAGAAGATAACATTGGAAAAACTCTTCTAGACATTGGCTTAGGCAAAGACTTCATGACCAAGAACCCAAAAGCAAATGGAACAAAAATAAAGATAAATAGCTGGGACTTAATTAAACTAAAGAGCTTTTGCAGAGCAAAAGGAACAGTCAGAGTGTACAGACAACCCACAGAGTGGGAGAAAATCTTCACAATCTATACATCTGACAAAGGACTAATATCCAGAATCTACAAGGAACTCAAACAACTTAGCAAGAAAAAAAACAAACAATCCCATCTAAAAGTGGGCTAACGACATGAATAGACAATTCTCAAAAGAAGATATACAAATGGCCAACAAACATGAAAAAAATGCTCAACATCACTAATGATCCGGGAAATGCAAATCAAAACCACAATGCGATATCAACTTACCCCTGCAAGAATGGCAATAATCAAAATATTAAAAAAAATAGATGTTGGCGTGGATGGGTGAAAAGGGAACATTTCTACACTGCTGGTAAGAATGTAAACTAGTACAACCACTATGGAAAACTGTGTGGAGATTCCTTAAAGAACTAAAAGTGGAACTACCATTGATCCAGCAATCCCACTACTGGGTATCTACCCAGAGGAAAAAGAAGTCATTATACAAAAAAGATACTTGCACACGCATGTTTATAGCAGCAAAATTTGCAATTGCAAAAATATGGGACCAGCCCAAATGCCCATCAATGAGTGGATAAAAAAACTGTGGTATATATATGTGGTAGAATACTACTCAACCATAAAAAGAAATGAACTAATGGCATCTGCAGCAACCTGGGTGGAATTGGAGACTATTATTCTAAGTGAAGAAACTCAGGAATGGAAAACCAAACATCATGTGTTCTCACCCATAAGTGGGAGCTAAGCTATGAGGATGCAAAGACATAAGAATGATACAATGGACTTTGGGGACTTGAGAGAAAGGGTGGAAGGGGTAAGGGATAAAAGGCTACAAATTGGGTTCAGTGTACACTGCTCGGCTGATGGGTGCACTGAAATCTCACAAATATCACCACTAAACAGCTTACTTATGTAACCAAATACCACCTGTTCCTCAAAAACCTAAGGAAAAAAATTAGAATACCAAAAAAATAAAGAAAGGAAAGGGGGAGTGCTTCACATGGGAAGTTGAAATTCTCCCCCAACTACAGAAATATAAAGCGCAAAAAAATAAGTAAATAAGAAGAGATAGAAAATTGGCACCAATGAATTCTACCTTGAAAATATATCTGCTTCATCAAAATCTTTAAAAACAAACAACAAAAAATAGTCTTCAGAGAATTGTACCTAAGTATCCTCTTGATACGTTTTTTATAAAATCAATTTTATTCAAATAACTTTCACTGAAACATTACATCAAAAAATGTAAACTGAAAACTAGTACCACATGCTATAGAGACTGTAAGCATGAAAATAATTACAATGGAAAATAGACAATTTTATTACATCCAAAAGATACATTCTGTAGTCTGTAAATGACTTTTAACCGGAGGCCTCTCCTCTCTGTTAAAATTGAACATTAAAAATACTCCAGCACAAAACTGTAGCTTATCTCCTTGAAATTGGAATGAATATAAGAGAATTGAAAAAAAGAATATTTTCTCATCATATGAGTCAAGATTCTTTGTCTCTATCCATTCAGCACCTAAAGCCATCCTGGGGAGAAGCAAAGATGCAACCAGTGAGATAAGTGGCATTGAATGTCTTAAGGGAAATTTCCATTAATATGGCACAATGAAGTACAGGACTGCAGCCTTCCTTTCATGTACCAAATCCCTATCACTTACAAAATAGGACTTTTTAAGGTTGCAAATAATGTTGGAAAATGAGACTAAATACTGCTGGTAGACCAGAAATTATGAGGAATACAAGAATGCCTGGAAGATGGAAAGCAGCAGATGGAGGAAATGAGGTTCAAAATGGCTCCCAAAGCGGAATGCTGTGACAGTGAAGTCTAAGGGCGCTCAAAACTCAGTGTAAGTGGATCCTGAAAGCTGGCTGGCTTTCTGAGAAAAGAGCAGCCAGGTGAGTCCACTCATCCTGGGTTTGTACCAGTGCCAGGAGCCCTGGCAACTGCCTTCAGGAAGGGGTACTGAGTGAGTGTGGGCATCTGAAACAGAAAGTCAGGGCAGTGCCATGGATGATAGAAACAATCAGAAAAACAGAAACCAGTCCACTGCACTCAACAGAACATCCCTTATTTCCCCTTAACCACAGGAGGCAACCTCATAAGCACTCTCAAATAAAAAGTTGTGCACAGAGCCAAGAATCATCAATGTATGAGAAACAACTTCATAAAGTAGACTCCAGATCCCAACAAACACTCAAGGAGATAAGAATTAAGTGGAGACTTTTTAAAAAGCATAATTAAGGGCCAGGCGTGGTGGCTCACGCCTATAATCCCAGCACTTCGGGAGGCCGAGTTGGGCAGATCACGAGGTCAGGAGTTCGCAACCAGCCTGGCCAACATGGTGAAACCCCGTCTCTACTAAAAATACAAAAATTAGCCAGGTACGGTGGCAGGCACCTGTAATCCCAAGTACTCGGAAGGCTGAGGCAGGAGAATCGCTTGAACCTGGGAGGCGGAGGTTGCAGTGAGCCGAGATCGTACCATTGCACTCCAGCCTGGGTGACAAGAGCGAAACTCCATCTCAAAAAAAAATAATAATAATTATAATAAAATAAAATAAAACTAAATAAATATAAAAATAAAAAGTATAATTAATATTCTCAGAGGAATATGAAAGGTCTAGTTACTTGTAAAATTTTTTAAAAATGTAAATTTGAACACTATCATGGTAGGCAGAGCAATAGCCTCAAAGATGTCCACTTCCTAATCCCCAGAACCTATAGCTATGTTACCTTACACAGCGAAAGGGAATGTGACGATGTGATTAAGTTACAGATTTTGAGATGGGGAGGTTACCCTGGGTTTATGTGGGTAGGCTCAGTATAATCACAAGGGTCCTTATAAGGCGGAAGCAGGAGAATCCAAGTCAGAGAAGGAGATCTGACAATGGAGGCAGGGAGATCTGAAGATGTCATGCCACCAGCTGGGAAGCTGGAGCAAGGGGCAATGAGGCAAGGACTGCAGGCAGCCTCTAGAAGGCAGGAGAGGCAAGAAAACAGATTCCACCCTGTGTGGAATGTGAACACCTTGATTTGAGGACTTCTGACCTCCAGAACTATAAAATAGATCATACATTGTGTTATTTTAGACCACACAGTTTGTGGTATTTCATTGCAGCATCAATAGAGAACTAATACAATTGGAGTAAGAAATTCAATAGATATGCTAAATAAATAACTGGATCAAAGAATAAAGTAAGAAGGTGAAATGTCCTCAGAGGGCAGAATAAAAAAACAGAGGTACAGAGAGCAAGGAGGAAAAGACTTTTTGTCCGAGGAAGGACAAAAAGTTTCAACCTCTAGTAGTTGTTTACAAGGGCAAAAAGAAAGGGAATAGAGGAGAAGGATATTTAAGATAGTAAAAAAAATAAATAAATAAATCAGTGGGGGTGCAGTGGCTCACGCCTATAATCCTAGCACTTTGGAGGCCGAGGTGGAAGGAATGTTGAGCCCAGGAGTTGGAGACCAGCCTGAGCAACATGGCAAAACCCCGTATCTTAAAACAAACAAACAAACAAACAAAAACACACTTTCCGTGTTTTAAAAAATGCAAGTAATCAGACTAAAAGGGTCAATGCGAATGAGGAATACGGAAGGGAATGTAGCCAACTTCCCATACTTCTGGATACAATTGCCAGGAGAAATAGACAAATCCATAACTATAATCAGAGATTTTAATACCCTCTGCCACAAAATTAATAGGAAAACATAGACCAAAAAATCAGCAAGAATATGGAAGACTTGAAGAACTCTATTAAATAATTTGACCTAATTGACATTTATAAAGCACCCTACCCAATAAGAATAGAATACACATTCTTTTCAAGTGTACACAGATCATTTACCAAGATGGATCATATTCTGGCCCATCAAGCAAGCTTCAAAAAATTTAAAAGGGTATGATTCATACAAAGTATCTTATTTGATAAAAAATGGAATTAAATAGGTATCTAAAACAGAAAGAGATCTGAAAAATATCCACATATGTGGAAATGATATAACACATTTCAGAAGAAACCAAGAGTTAAAGAGGTTATCAAAAGTAAAATTAGAAACAATTTTAAAGAGGATGAAAGGGAAAACTCAACACATCAAAATGCATGAGATGGTGCTCAAGTGGTACTTAGGGGGAAATTGATAGCGCTAAACACATATATCGGAAAAGGCGAAAGGACTCAATGACAACAGAGAAAACTCAATGAGACAGAGAGCTGGCTCTTTAAGATCAATAAAATTGATAAATCTATAGCTAAAATGATTAAGAAAAGAAAAAGACAAAAATTACCAATTTCTAAAATGATTGAGAGAAGTAAATCACTACAAATTCTATATATCTTAAAAGGATAATAACAGAATATTATGAACAACTTTATGCAATAAATTTGACAACTTAGATGAAAGGGATAAATTCCTTGAAAGACACCAACTTCTAAAGTTCACTCAGGAAGAAACAGATAACCTCAATTGCCTTCTATCTATAAAGACGTTGAATTTATAGCTTAAAGCCTTCATGCAGGAAAAAAAAAAAAAAACAAGGAGTAACTTTACAGAGAGCTGACAAATACTGCCTCAGCCAGCAGACCAAGATCAATATCAGCAGTGATTAATCTTGTTGATAGGGCATATTCTTTTTTTTTTTTTTTAACTTTTAGGTTCAGGGGTACATGCACAGGTTTTTTATATGAGTAAACAGTGTATCACAGGGATTTGGTGTGCAGATTATTTCGTCACTCAGGTGATCAAGCATAGTACAGGGTAGGTAGTTTTTCAATTCTCACCCTCCTCCCAACCTCCACCCTCAAGCAGGCCCCACTGGCTATTATTCCCTTCTTTGTGTCCATGTGTACTCAATGTTTAGCTCCCACTTACAAGTGAGAACATGCAGTATTTGGTTTTCTGTTCCTGAGTTAGTTCACTTAGGATCATGGTCTCCAGCTCCACCCATGTTGCTGCAAAGGACATGATCTCATTCTTTTTTATGGCCGTGTACTGTCCCATGGAATATATGTAGTACGTTTTCTTTATCCAGTCTGCCACCGATGGGCATTTAGTTTGATTCCACGCCTTTGCTATTGTGAATAGTGCTGCGATGAACATACACGTGTATGTGTCTTTATGGTAGAATGATTTATATTCCTTTGGGTATATATGCGGTAACGGGAATGCTGGGTCAAATGATAGTTCTGCTTTAAGTTGTCTGAGAAATTGCCAAACTTCCTTCCACAGTGGCTGAACTAATCTACATTGCCACCAGCAGTGTATAAGCTGTCTCATTACTCTGCAGCCTTGCCAGCCATCTATGATTTTTTGACTTTTTAATACCAGCCATTCTGACTGATGTGAGATGGTAGGTGATGGGATGAGAATGGCACTTTACCTCTGTGATCTTCTTCCCAGAAACTCATAACTCCAGTCTAACCATGTAAAGACATCAGACAAATCTCAACTGGGGGACATTCTACAAAATATGTAAACAGTACTCCCCAAAACTGTCAAGTTCATTAAAAACAAAGAAAGTCTTAGAAGCTGCCACAGCAAGAGAGGCCGAAGGAGATGTGAGGACTAAATGCAACGTGCTATTCTGGATAGGATCCTAGAACAGAAAAAGAACAGCAGGTAAAAACTAAGGAAATGTGAATGAAGTGTGGACTTTAGCTAATATAAATATATGTTCATTATATAAAGTAAATGTGCCATACTAATAAAATGTTAATATAGAAGAGTGGAGGAGTATATGGGAATGCCCTGTGCTATCGTCACAACTTTTCTGTAAGTCTAAAACTATTCTAAAATTTAAAATTAATTTAAAAAAACTTTCCCACAAAGAGTTTATCCTAGGGATGCAAGGTTGATTTAACTAACAATGTAATTCACCATATTAACAAACTAAAACTAAAAAATAAACGATCATCTCAACAGATACCAAAAAAAGGCATCTGACAAAATTCAAAGACTGTTTCTCATTAAAACTCTCTTCAAACTATTTATGACTAGAAGGGAACTCTCTCAATCTGATTTTTAAAATCTATGAAGGCCAGGCCTAGTGGCTCATGCCTGTAATCCCAACACTTTGGAAGGCCGAAGCAGGCGAATAGCTTGAGCCCAGAAGTTCATGACCAGCTTAGGCAACAGGGTGAATCCTCATCTCTACGAAAGATACAAAAATTAGCCAGGCTTGGTGGTGTGTGCCTATAGTCCCAGCTATGTGGGAGGCTAACGTGGGAGGATCTTTTGAGCCTGGCAGGTTGAGGTTGCAACAAGCTGCGACTGCGCCACTGCACTCCAGCCTGGGCAACAGGGCAAGACCCTGTCTCAAAAAGAAAAAAAAAAAATCTATGAAAAATCTACAGCTAAAATCATCCTTAATTATGAAGTATTGAATGCTTCTCCCCTAAAATCAGAGACAAAGCAAGGATGTCCACTCTAACCCTTTGTACTCAGCATGTTCTAGCAAGTGAAAAAAGGCAAGAAAAACAAAGGCATGCAGATATTGAGTAAAACTGTCTTCATTTATAGATGACGTGAACATCTATGTAGAAAAACTATGGAATCTATTAAAAAACTACTAGACCTAAGATGTAAATTTAGCAACATGGCAGGATACAAGATCAATATACAAAAATCAATGGAATATTATGAATGCTAGAAACAAAAATTCAGAAATGGAAATTTTATTAAAATGCTGTTTGCAATTGCATAAAGATATAAAATACTTAGAGATTGATGAAAAAATTTAAAAGACCTGTATATATTCTAAAAATAGTGAAACACTGCTGAGAGAAATTCAAGAAGACCTAAATAAATGGGAAATACAATAGATTGTGTTCAAGCCTGGAACACTCAATATTGTTAAGCTATCAATTCCTCTTAAATTGAGTTATAGATTCAACCCAATCCAAATAAAAATCTGAGCAGGATTTTTTTGAAACATTGAAAATTTGATCTCTAAAACTCACATGAAAATGCAAAGTAACTAGAATAGTCAAACAACTTTTAAAATGAAGACCAAAGTTAGAGGACTAACAGGGCCTGACCTCAAAACTTATAAAGCTACAGTCATCAAGACAACAATTGTACAAGAATAGAAATGCAATGATAGTGCACTATGTGATACTGCTGTGAATATTATTTCTGTGCTCATGACATTGTAAATAAGTGTTAGGCGATGTAAAAATGGAAGTTTTGGATGAGGCCCCAGAACTGTTTTTTTTTTGTTTGTTCTTTTTTATTAAACCGATGTGCAGAAGACAACTTATGCAGGATTTGGAAACAAACAAAAACAGAAGAGATGAGGGTAGCCAGTTTTATAACTTTTAATCCCAGCCTACATCTATGGCATAAATAGGTCAGAAGATGGAGATTAAAAAGGATTTTTAGAAAAATGTTGGAGAGAGTGTGGAGGAGGCAGGATGTGTTGTGATCTTTTCATTTCACACCAAATCAAGAGAGAAGAACTTTTAAAAGATTCCTCAGCGAGCTTAAAATACATTCTCTGGGGACTTAAGAACAGAAGGGGTAGATGGGGAAAGAGAAAAAGCCAAATACAACCTCTTCCCTGACACCAATGTTCCCACGGCAACAGGCCAGAGCTTGGGGAGGAGTGAAAGCCAAACTTTAAATCAAGATTATAGCTTTGACCATGACATGGGTCTTAGCATTTTGACTACTGCACGAGCCTGCACTTACACATTCAAGTGACTGGAGAACTTATGTGACCCAAGAGTAGTCAGAAAAGTCATGCAGCCTGCTCACATTTTCATCCGTGAGTAGGCAATTTAAAATAAGAGCAGGGAAAAAAGGGGAGGAGTGCATTTTAAGAGTCCCACATGATGGAAGTGATGATTACACAATGAATATTTATTTAACAAAAATAGTGATTATAAGTAAATTGGAAGGGTGAAGGGAGGGAGAAGTCTATGGAAGACCAAGGGTTAGGAAGCTAAGCCATTATCTTCCATATCAGGAAATCAATACATTTATCCAAACTGAAGAATCAGAGTAAAAAAAGAAATAGTAAAAAACAAGCACCATGAAGTTAAGTACCAAATAAATATGTAAAAGAGTTGAAAGTGTTTCCTCTGAGAGCAGAAAATAAGCACTGGGAAAGGAGTTGATGGGGAAACTGCCATTTCTCACGAAAAAGCTTGCACCATGTTTTTTTTAAAAATGTATACACATGGCCCGGCCTGGTGGCTCACAGCTGTAATCCCAGCACTTTGGGAGGCCAAGGCGGGCGGATCACAAGGTCAGGAGATCAACACCGCAGTGAAACCCCGTCCCTATTAAAAATACAAAAAATTAGCCAGGCACGGTATCGGGCGCCTGTAGTCTCAGCTACTCGGGGGGCCGAGGCAGGAGAATGGCCTGAACCCAGGAGGCGGAGCTTGCAGTGAGCCGAGATGGCGCCACTGCACTCCAGCCTGGGTGACAGAGCAAGACTTTGTCTCAAAAAAATAAAAATAAATAAAATAAAAAATAAAAAAATGTATACACATATACTCTGATAATTTGTAGTTTTAATAATGAGAAAATTCATGGGGCCTGCCCATGTTTTCACACAGAGGTAGAGGTAACTACATTTGCCTTTTTAAAACCACATACGTATATTACCATTTTCTTTTTAAACTACATACACATATTACTCTGATAATTTTTGTTTTTAAATGAAAAAAAAAAACCTTTAAGGATAGCCATAAGGTTGGAAGAAAATTCACACTGTGCAGCTTATATGAGCAATGTGTGTTTGAAAGGGCAATTGGACATCCATAGGCAAAATAAATGACTTAAGTCTCACATTTATACAAAATTAACACAAAGTGGACTTAAGAAAAAACATAGGAGAGGCCGGGTATGGTAGCTCAACACCTGTAATCCCAGCACTTTGGGAGGCTGAGGCAGCCAGATCATTTGAGGTCAGGAGTTCGAGACCAGCCTGGCCAACACAGTGAAACCCCATCTCTACTAAAAATACAAAAATTAGCTGGGCATTGTGGTGTGTGTCTGTAGTCCCAGCTACTCAGGAGGCTGAGGCAGGAGAATTGCTTGAACCTGGGAGGCGGAGGTTGCAGTGAGCCGAGATTGCACCACTCTACTCCAGCCTGGGCTACAGAGTGAGACTCTGTCTCAAAAAAAAGAAAAAGAAAAGAAAATATTTATTATTTAGGGCTAGGCAAAGAATTCCTAGACTTCACACAATCTATAAAACTAAACATGAATACATTGGACTTCATAAGAATTAAAAATTTTGATCTGTGAAAGACCCTATTAAGAGGATTAAAAGATAAGCTACAGAGCGAGAGAATATATTTGCAAATCACATATATAGAAAGAACCTGTATTGAGAATAAATCAAGCATTCTCAAGACTCAACAGTAAAAATGTAAACAATCCAATTAGAAAATGGACAAAAGACATGAAGAAACATTTCACCAAAGAGGATACACAGATGGCAAATAAACACATGAAAAGATATTCAACATCATTAGTCACTAAGGAAATGCAAATTAAACCCACAGTAAGATTAATTACACACCTATCAAAGTGGCTAAAATAAAAAACAGTGACAACAGCAAATGCTGGCAGGGATGTGGAGAAACTAGATCACTAATATATTGCTGGTGGGGATGTGAAATGGTAGCACAACTCTGAAAGATAGTTTGGGAATTTCTTTTCATTTAGAAAAATAAATCCTTATGATAAAGATCTAAATATTAAGAAAAGATTATTCAAAGTAGTAGAAAACTGTAGAAGAATAACTTCAGGGATAGGAAGACTTTTCACAACAGGGCACAAAATGTAATCATGACAGGGCACAAAATGTAAAGTCACAAGCAAAAGACAGACACATTTGACTACATCAAAATAAAAGCTTCTGTATACTCAAAGCAAAACTAAACAAAGCAAACAACAGCAAAAACAACAAAGGGACAAGGCACTCCAAAAACAAAGTTTAAAGATAAATGACAAACTAGGAAAAAAATTATTAATATCCTCATATGGAAAGAGCTCCTATAAAACAATAAGACAAAGCAAACTACTCCCAAAAAACACAAATAAATGACATAAACAGACAATTCAGACATAAGGAAATACAAATTAAAATATAGAAAAGAAAGTTCACCCTCACTAATAATCATGAAAATGCAAATTAAGACTGGATACCATTTTTTTCTCATGAGTGCTTGGCAGAAATGGAAGTCTACTGGCATGGGTGTGGGGAAGCAGGTGTTCATGCTTTAATAGTAATGTAGCCAGCACAGTGATAAAGGATACTCACTGTAGCAAATAACTGGAAAAAACCTTAACGTCCACCAATAGGGAAATGGTATAATAGAAAACTATGAAGCTGTTAAAACAGTGGGATAGATCTATATGCATGATATGGAAATAACTCGAAGAAACAGTGATACATTTTAAAAAGCAAACTGCCAAACAATATGCCTAGTATAATCTCGCATTTAAAAAACAGAAAAAAGGCTGGGTACAGTGGCTCATGCCTATAATCCCAGCACTTCAGAAGGCCGAGGCAGAAGGATTGCTTGAGCCCAGGAGTTGCAGGCCAGCCTGGGCAACAAAGTAAGACCTTGTCTCTACAAAAAATAAAAAAATTTGCCTGGCAGGGTCACATACACCTGTAGTTCCAGCTACATGGAAGGCTGAGGCAGGAGGATTGCTTGAGCCCAGGAGGTCAAGGCTGCACCGAGCCATGTTCATGCCATTGCACTACAGCCTGGGTGACAGAGCAAGACTTTGTCTCAAAAAAGAAAAAAAGAAAAAACAGAAAAAAATCCAAAACGCTGTTTATGTGTATATTTATGTACCTCAATAGATATGATAATAGTTATACCAAATTTTTTTAACAGTGGCTACATCTAGGAAGCGAACTGCGATGGTGTAGGTGATCACAAGAGACTATAGAATGACTTATACCATTAAATTTTTTTTTCTGTTTGATTATTTTACCAATTTTTTTCTGTTTGATTATTTTACTAAAAGACACATTTGCATCACTTGTTTAATAAAAAATAACGATGCAGCACTTAAGATAGTATCTAGCATATAGCAGTTGCTCAAAAATGCTAATTTCAACTTAAAAATAAATTAAGAAAATATTTTCAAAGAGTTAAAAAAATAAAGGATGATGTAGCCATAATGGTTCTATGGCCAAGGTTCTAAATGCTACATTATATAAGTGATAGAATTCTTCCCCAGGGAACAGAAAAAAGGGGCACGTTTAGGGGAAAAGGGAATTTACCAAACAACCAAAGAAAGATATCCAGGGTCTGTGTGTATTCACTGACCCAGAAACAAGCAGTAAATAAGTGTTTCTAGAAGTGCTTTACTAAAGGCACACTTAGCATATTAGAATGGTCAACTTACCTGTCGTCTTCACTACAGAGGTGGTGGAAACTCCATTGAGCTCACTAGAACTCCTTTTCACAGGCCTTGGCTTGTATTCTCGTCTGGGGACACTGGATGCAGCTGATATTCTGTAACACACATCGTAAGATGAGCCAGACATCTGATGTTGAAAGCTTTCCAAACACACATCCTCTCTGCCTTGTTGAGCACAGGAACTTAGGTTACAGCCAGTGGTCATGAAAGGGACGATTTTTACACACTGACTCTTGAGTAGCCCGAAGTGATGGAGGTGATATCACAAATGCAGTTTTTCAACTCCCTATTTGAGCTTGTGAGTGAAATTCATCTTGAAGAAGACTAATTGGGCCAGCCATGGTGGCTCATGCCTGTAATCCCAGCACTTTGGGAGGCCAAGGTGCTCACCTGAGGTCAGGAGTTCGAGATCAGCCTGGCCAACATGGTGAAACCCCATCTCTACGAAAAATACAAAAATTAGCCAGGCATGGTGGTGGGCGCCTGTAATCCCAGCTACTCGGGAGGCTTAGGCAGGAGAATCTCTTGAAACTGGAAGGTGGAGGCTGCAGTGAGCAGAGGTTACGGTGAGCCAAGATGGCGCCACTGCACTCCAGCCTGGGCAACAGAGCACGACTCCATCTCAAAACAAAACAAAACAAAACAAAAGACTAATTTTCTTCATCAAGTCTCTGAGGCATCCAGCAAGTGCCTGGGACGCGGTCGGCACCCAGTGATGGGAGCTGCCTTCTCCCTCACTCTACTCTTATAGATTATGATAGAATTATGAAAATACACTCCTGTCAGTAACAGGTAAACTATCTGCCTGCAGAAGTGGATGCTTCAGGGACTGAACACATCTTTGTCTTCCCTAGGTAACTACGTCATTGATTTAAGTAAAAATCCCTCCAAATTTATGCATTACCATAATCCTGTGTAAAACAATTTTCTGTTATCAAACCTAATTTAAAATATTTTAATAAACAGGGTTGCCATGCAGACTATATATAATATTACTAATTTTCAGAAAAGTATAGACTACATCTATGATTAAATTCACAAGGAATGCAGAAACCTTTCTTTGATTGTTCAGAAGATATTTTTGACTCTTTCAATACCTGTCAATATTATGAACACAGCCTGAAATTTGTCAATATTTTGACTCTTTCAATACTAGTCAATATTATGAACATATCCTGAAATTCGTACTGGTGAAGTGAAGGCACTACCTTTTTTTTTTTTTTTTTTTTTTACAGATATTTACATATTTTCCATACAGCATCTCACTTTTTTCCATAGCTCTGGATGTTTTCCATCCCTTTGTGAATGGGGAGTTAAACTCTCATCAAATCAGCAATGAAGCCAGGGTAGTTCTGTAGGGGTTGATGTCCCAGGTGGG
Source organism: Homo sapiens (assembly GCF_000001405.40). Taxonomy (NCBI): domain Eukaryota; kingdom Metazoa; phylum Chordata; class Mammalia; order Primates; family Hominidae; genus Homo; species Homo sapiens. Next base: position 193,172 of record NW_025791797.1, on the reverse strand, counting down.
AGAGCAACTTGGTTAGTTGCCCTAAACACGGGTCACAAAAAAAAGGGATTTAATGAAAAGAAAAAGGAGAAAAGCTGCCAGGTCCCTTTTCCCAGTTCTATCCTACTGGCCAAAGCCAGTACTTATTATCTCAGTCCCATCCCACATCCAACCATGAAAGCCAGTGAAAGAAAATTCAAAACAGAATGAGGCAGGGGAAGGGGGAGATGGAGAGATGGAGAGACAGACAGATGGATTTCAATAGATGTTACCTCCGCAGCCCTTGGCTTGTAAGAAACGTGGAGGTGCTTACCGCATCTGTAGCTTGCTCTGCAGCTCCTGCAGAATCTCTGTGGACTGTCTGTGATAGTCTAATGCTGCCTCTATGAACACAGCCAACTGGCTGACTTGTTCTACCTGCAGCAGAAGTGCAAAATTATTCCATGGAGGCCCGAGCCTGTGTAATGTCCAGAGAGAGAGGAGACCAGCAGCAAAGACCTAGCTTTGCAGGGAAGACCAGTGTCTGCCTTGGTCCATTTCATTTAATTTCATGTAGGAGCTCTGTATAATAATCATACAGGTCATGGTATGGAGCTATAAATGCTGGAAAAACATGTTCAAATTTATTTGTGATTATGAATTTGATTTAACTCAATAAAATGCCTGTTTTTCCAATTAGATGATGATTTTTCTCAGCAGATTTTCTATGCTATAAAGCTCATGGATCTGAAAACAGAGAGATAAAGCTCTTCCAGTTACAAACGAAGCCAACATTTAGCAAAAGAACTGCCTACTTTGTCAAGTGTCTCAACACGCACTTTCTAGCTAAGCCAAATCAAGACATTAAGTACATTAAACAGTTAAGAACTGTAAATGAAACAGATAAGAAAGGGGGCCAGGGAGCAACATGTGAACTGGGGCAAAGATTTCCCTGTCCCCTCTATGCGTTTTGTTGCTATCCACTCAACATATTTTCCCTGAAACATAGAGCTAAAGGGAATGAACTATAAAGACACTGGCATCTCTGTTTCCCACAAATCAAGACATTCATGAAATTAATGACTAACTTACAATGAATTTTTTAGAGCTGTGTCTCATAAGGAAAAACCTGGATGATATGGGGCTGTATAATTTGAGGAAAAGCAATCTAAGGAAGGCCTGAGAGCTTTCCTGCTCCCCCACGTGTCTGAGGGGCTGCTACAGGAAAGAGATTAATTAAGCTTATTTCTGAAAGCCCCAGAGGCAAGCTCCAGAGGGTTGAGGTGATGGGCCTCCCCCAGCAAGAATCCAATCAACTCTAGAGCTGGACAAAGACACAAATCAAAATCAATCCTACACTTCCCAGGCTTCCCCAAAGCCTATGCATCATTTCCATACTTCATTTTCTACTCAGCTTTAGGGCAAAGTCTGCCTGCTGATTCATTTATGCAATCTCACCCTGCCTAACCAACCATGGACTTAGCCTTCAAAGATCCAAGCTACTTTCATTTGTAGTTGCAAATCATTCTTTAGTTGCCTGTACTTAAATTTTTCTTACTCACTTATACTATTTTAAACACGGGCTCAATATGCATGTAAGAGACACATTGAATTCCATGTGTGCCAAGCTGTGATCAGCATCCGAACAATGAAATCCTGTCGGGTTTCATTTACTTTACCATGCTCTGTGGCTGGAAAAGCAACAAGCCTAGCCTTAAATTTCCAAAAACCCAATAAACAAAACAAAGACAGCCTGGCCCCTACTAAATCCTAAGGATTTCTTAAATTTCATCTCTTTGGCTTTTACACGTACTTTTAAATAAGTCCAGGGCCATGGCCTAGCACGATCGTAGTAGAATTTGTTACAGAAACAATTTTTCTTCCTTACAGTGCTAGAGTGGTGTGCTTGGCAAAATCTATGCTATGCCTCTCTGCCTTTAGTAAAATTTATTTGCCCTGTCTTATTACCCACTTTAAAAAATGCTTGCATTTTATAATTTTTAAAGAAATAGTGAAAGATAGCTAAATTAATATTTCTTGAAACATATTTGGGGTTGGGGAACAGGAAGGGGGCAAGGGGATTACCAGCTATCCTCCCTGTCGTGGCTAAAACACAAGGTGATGTAATCTAGAGATGCATTCGTAACTGCTCATTGGGTGGCTGACTTTGGGAAGGAAATGAATCCTGAAAACCCTTAAACCTTGGGAAACAATGGCAGCACTGCCCAATGCTTGCACCTAGCAGGTGCTCAGTACAAGTCCTGAAGGGCTGGCTACTAGGCTGTAAGTCTCTTGTTGACAGTAAAGACCAGGTGTGCTACGATAGATTATTTTCCTCTTGATTTCAGAAAATTGAAGCTTCCAGCTGTCCCCCAGGTCATGAGCATTGAGCTGTGTGCTGGGGACCATGGGGACCAACACAGGTACATTCAGCTTCCTGAACCACGATTAGAAATAAATACCTAGACAGGCAGAACCAAGATAAAGCAACAAACTCAGGCTTAGCAAGAGCCAAAACCTGACCAAAAGGTAAAACATTTCTTCCATTGTTGGAATTTCAGCAGTCCATCTGTTGAATCAGAGAAAGTCACCTGGGGTGGGAAGAAAGGTTTAATTCCACTTCCGGGTTGAGACCTGGGCTGACACTGTGCTGGTGCCATCTTGAGAGCAAAGTGTGACCTCACCCATGAAAATGTTCACGTGATATACGCCAAGGAACTGGATTTCCAGAGAATCCACTCCCTTTTCTGAAAGTGAAGCACTCTAGCTCCTACAGATGGGCTCACACTCAGCTGATGTTTGAAGTGAGAAACTCATAATGCAAGCTGACTTCCATGTAGGTTAGAGGTCAAGGAGGCACAGGCCTCGGTGGTTGACAAATGTGTGAAGTGAGGGCTGTGAAGAAGCAACTTGGGAGACACACAGAACCATAAAACCAGAGGGGGCCTGAGGTAGACAGAATCATGGAACCTGCAAAGATGTCCAAATATTAATTCCCCAAACCTGCAAATATGTTACTTTACATAGCAAAAGGGACTTTGCGGTTATGATTGAGTTAAGGATCTTAACATGAAGAGATTATTTTGGAACGTCTGAATGGCTCAATGTAATCACGAGGTCCTTTAAGGGGGAGACAGGAGTGCCAAGGTCAGAGAAGATATGACAATGGAAGCAGAGGTCAGAATGAGATACGTGAAGATGCTGTGCCGCTGGCTGTGAAGAGGGAGGAAGCGAAGAATGAGCCAAGAAATGCAGGTGGCCTGTAGAAGCTGGAAAAGGCAAAGAAGCAGCTTCTTCCTCAAGAGCCTCCAGAACAAACATGGCCCTACCCACACCTTGATTTTAGGACTCTAGGCTGGAAGACAATAAATGTGTGTTGCTTTAAGCTACAGTTTGTGGTCATTTGTTATGGCCCCAATAGGAAACTGATACAGAGCTGCTTTAGCCCATCCTCAAACTATGCAAAAACCTAACAATGAGATTAGTGCTGCCCAGGGACCCCCATTCATGGTGATGGGAGTTGTTGCCTGGAGACGCATAAGAACCAAGCTCAGGGGGTAATGGGCCCATCGTGGCTGGGCCTGGGGACTTCATTGTTGGTTTGGCTGTATCCCAGGGCTCCTCACTCTCTTCTGAGGGATAACCCCAAAACAGGAATTAACTCAATTTATCTCCCATGGCAGACTATACACAATAAACAATCCACAAGTGACACACGTGTGTCACCTGTGGATGCATTTCATTCCAAACCTCTCTATAGCTGGAAACCAATGGATGATTAGCAGCATATATGGCCGTTGGGAGTATCTTAGTCCTGGGGATGGAAACAGAGAATAGATGTCCCCAACTACAATGGACTAAGGATACTAGAAGTTTCTAGGAGTTATGGAAACCCCAGGGACACTTGCATAAGATCTGAGCCATTGGCCTGGCCTTGTGAGCCAACTGCAAAAGGCTTAGGCTGTACCCAAAGGAAGAATGGCTCAAAGGACTGCATACTGTAACCAAGGCTGTCTTAGGCCAACTCTGCAAGAGGACTATGGAAACTGGGGTGCCTAGAAGGAGCAGGGCTGGGAACCCTCCTCCTCTGACCCTTTAGCAATCCCTTACCAGGGGACTTGGTGAGCAGCCGGGTGAGTAAGCAGAGAGTAGCACACCCTGAAGCCCATGGCGAGGACAGAGAGAGAACTGTGATGTGAGTAGCTGATGCCTGTCCAGACGCCTGGGGTCTGCAAGTGTGTTTGGCATGCAGGAATAAAGAAGTGTACATCTTCAAAAGACGACAAGCCATTCTCTTTCACAACTGAAAAGGCACATTTCCCATAGAGGTCACCTTCAATTTACAGTGTAATAATACCAGTAATTTCTTGCTCTATCATATCAAAGACCTCTACTCTTTTTGGATTCCTCAGAGAAGCTGTGGAAAATTTCTCATGTATTTTGCAGTCTGGTCATAAACAGATGACTTTTCCAATGGGGCAAAAGCCTTTATTCAGAGTTTCTGAGAAAGTTTGAGTAAGGCAATTAAATTAATAACATGGATAATAATCCCTTACACTTTTATTCTCCACTTTATCCTTCTAAAGAATTTCTCAAATGCAGTTGTTAATTTGCCTGATACCAGTCAGGTGAAATGATTTTCCCAGAGGCTTAGCAGAAACAAAATCAGAAACAGAATTCAGGTATCTCACGCCTTGCTGGGTATGCTTTCTACAAGTTCAATACTTCCTAATGCATCTTATTCCACACATTACAGTCCTGAAACATTAGTAATAATATAATAATGTGACGGAATTCTGCGGTCAAATAAGTTTGGTAAACTGCCAACTGTATTTTCTGTTAGGAACCGCTTAGAGATTAATCTTTCATACTGTCAAATAAAGACTCTGAAAAGTCTTGTGATAAAGAAACTGTTTAGTTTTATTTAACCCAGGGTTTCCCAAACTTATGTGACCACAGAGACATTATTAATGCAAAACACACTAACATCCCATGGAATGGATTTTGGAAAATGCTACTCTAGACCAATGGAAAGACCTCAGGAATCTGGAATCTAGTAATTCCACTGGTCTTGGGAACCCATGAATGGAAGGAGGATCCCGTAGCTGGTGAATGTATACCAAGACAGCCAGTACTGCAGGTGCCTGGACTCACTGGACTGAAATAGGCATCTTCTATGGAATATCTCTGATTTCTGCTAATGTCAAAGACCTACATTTGCTACTAGTAAGTTGTGAGGAATAATGAGGAATAAACTTCTCTGCAAAGACAGAAGAGGTGACAGTGTGTTAACAAGCCTATGGGTGATATAGTGTTCCCAAGATACGGCAATGAAGGCTGGTAACCAGTCTGCTGACTTTCCCACACTTTCCTCCAAGAGGAGGGCTGCCCTGGTTACTTCTCAGGACCCTGCCAAGCCCAACTTGGCCTGGTGAGAAATCAGTCATGGGACTGCCCCTCTTGGATCCCTGGAAAGTTGGAGAACCAAAACACCTCCTGGCTTGCATCACTGCCTATAGAATAACGACACTGCTCAGCCTCAGGCAAGATGTGAAGAGATGCTCAATGTCTCTAATCCAGCTCCCATTCACAAGACAACCAAAGGCTACAGTGTGGGGCCGAAGGAGACTCTTCTTCATTCTCCCATTCCCAGTTCTGCCAAAAATAGATGAGAAAATAGATAAAACTTCTGCTTAGGAATGTTAGAGTTAGCATGTCATGTCTCTCTACCTCCCCTTCCTTTGGTGATTCATCTAACTGGTGAGATTACGGGAGTGGCACCCACTTGGCCCTAATAACCAGGGTACCTAGACACTGCAAGGAAAGGCAGTAGGGGCCTGGCTCTGGGCTCCGGATTTCTCAAGAAAGTGGGTTTGTGAAGTGGCCACAAGATCGTGTGTCATCTGGCTTTGTGGTCTCTGCACCCGCTCTCTCTGCAGGGGCTCCAAGGTCTAGACTTCAGGCCAGGAATAGCTCACTGGACTTCTACTGTGGGCCCAGGCCCAAGCTGCCCCTTCCAACATGGCTTTCTAGAGAGCCCTGCTCTCTGAGCAAGGGGCTGGCATGTGATCTCATGTGGCTCCCTGGGTTTGTTTCTCAGTTGGGAGAATGCAGAGGTGAGGACAGTGAACAACCACACCCTGGAAATCCCTGCAAATGGCCTGTTGGCCAGAAAACCCTAGGAAGTACTACATCTGGAGACCCAGGAAAGACCAAGTCTGTTAACTCCAGTCAGGGTTCTCCTCACATCAGTCAGAGTTTTGGCAAACAGTTTCTTTTGAGGCATTCCCCGGTGAAGCTTTTATTGCGTCTTAGCCAGGATGATGAGACATGAGGGCTGGAGAAGGCACCAGCTCTTCCCCCAGGGTGAGATTTTGGTCTTTGAATTGTCAGTGCCAAACAGAGATGGACAGGTAGCACAAGAGCACCAAGCACACCCATCTCAGAGGATTTCCCTTCATTTGCTTCTCTGCTTATTCACTTTCTCTTTGGAGCGAATGCTTCTAAGTCCTCTCGCCAGGCCCTCCTCTTCCTCCTCTTGTGGATGAGGTTGGGGGTGCTCCCTAGTTAGTAGGATGGGTTGCTCTGCCTCAGTCACTGGCTCTGCAGGGTTGGGGCCAGCAAGGCTCCCACTCACCCAGCTTCAGCGTCTCAGGCTGTATCTGGGTGGTAAGACAGGCGGGCTCTCCCCTAGAGCTGGCTGTCATCCACCGAAGGTGCAAGGAGGGGAAAGTGCCAACAGGACTTTAGGCCCAGGCCATGTCCTTCAGCACAGTTGACCAGGAGGTCTGTATTTTACAATTTTCAAGCATTCTCATCAGTTAAAGAGATGTCCCTTGATTCCAATCCGGCTTTTTTGTCACTTCCTCCATTGGTCAGAACCCAAAGGGTGAATGGCTGTGACTGACATCCCCAAACTTCCCACCACAGTAACAGAAGCATGTCCCACTTGTGTCTGGAGGAAGTGTCAGGGCCTCTGCTGCCTGCCACCAGGCTTCCCTTGCAGCCACTCATTTGACAGTTTGTGCACCTTGTCTCCAGCAGGTACCAGATCAGGTAGAAACACCGTCCAATCCATCAGGCAGCAGCACCCAAAGACCCACTGTGTTTGACATGGCGATTAGAACAGGTCCCAGCCATCTTTAGTTTCTGCCAGGAAATCCAGCCCTCCCCAGCCATCCCGAAGCACAGCTCCTCATGCAGGACTTCCCCACCAGGAAAGGAAGCAACATGGCAACAAGAGGTTGAGTGACCAAGGTTGGACGTGCGGGTTGTGACTCACAGGGAGCAGGAAACCAGAGTCCCATGGGCTACAAGGCCACCAGCTCTGGCCTGGTTGTTGGAGATGGGCCAAACACAGGGCCAAGGGTTCAATGTATGCCCCATCAACCATGTATTGGCATTTTGTCTTTCTCCCAACTAGTCACATTCTCTGTTTATCCCCAAGCACCAGGCAGTATCGGCATTGGCATGTCAGGTCCAAGGAGTGACCAGCAGGAGATTTTTCTCTAGCTTGTCTGGTCAACAGGAGAGGATGGTCAGACCACCTGGCTATGGCACAGACACACTGACATGGAAAAGGATCAGGTGATTCCCTCTGATCTAACTGCTGTTGACCCCAAGAAGAGAGTAAGATGGGCTTCTGAAGCCTAAACAATCATCTCTGAGTCTCCTCAGCTATAAACCTGGGTAGGAGAAAAGGTAAACGCACATGCACCATGACAGGGACCATCAACAGCACCCCCTTAGCCTCTTTATCATGGGGTGTCAGTGAATGGTAGCTCTTGTCATTGTCATCATCATTATCACCACTGTCTTTATCATTATCACGATCACCACCATTACCGCAAGAAGCAGCAGCCAGAGCACACCTAGCAGCCATTGCAGCTACAGATGGCAGGAAGCAGGAAGCAGGAAGGAGGGAAGAGCCTAGTTCCCGGGCAGCCTGGGCGGCCCATCTCCGTTTCATAACGTTGGTCTCCTCCCACCTCAATGGCAGAAGTAGAAGCCAGACAACCCCTCCTTGTGAAGGTGAAGACCCCAGGATCCAGGCTGAGGGAGCAGCCCTGACTCCCCAGAGCTGAACAGGGGAAACCTCCACTCACCTGCAGGTCAATTTCCCACAGGAAGCCTTGGAGGAAACACTGCAACCAGGCCGGAGCAAGGCCAGCACCAGAGCCCCTGCGGAGCTTGGGCTAGGAACCAGCTCTTACTTCTGCTGGGGCAGGGTGGGAGGACTTAACCCATTTGTGACAGGCAGAATACGTGTTACTGTCAAAACATGGACAAATGATTGAGCTTTTATAATGAAGGGATCCTTTTTGACTTTTGACTGATACTGAGGGGGAAAACTGAGGTCTCTTGGGTCAACTGCTAAGGCCGGCGTGGCTCAGACAGGCTTCCCTCATGGAGCACTTCGCAAAAACCCATCATTGTGGTTCCCGCATGAAGGCAGTGAATGGAACAAATGGGTCAGACGGCGCATCTGACACACAAGACACAATCTCAGAGTTTAAGCCATGAATGGGCCTGGAGCCAGCAGGGCAACATTCCATATGGCCCAACAAGGAGTATCTGATACATGTCACACTTCAAATACATTTTCTAAAGACTTCAAAACAATACGGCAATCTGAAACAAAACAAAATCGCTGTTGCTTGGGGACAATTTCAAGAGGAAATTTATACATTTAAAGAAAAACAGAGATACCAAACTGTCACACCTCCTCCTATTTCCCAAAAAAAATGTAAAAAAAAAAAAAAATTAAAAGAAGAAACACAGTAGAGTGTACTTTTCAGGCCTCAGTGGTTTAATGGGCATGGGAAATTTCAAATTGGCATTTCCAGTTGGGAGAATAAATTCTCCAGGATGAATGTCTTGTTAGTATTGGACATAATTCCTCCATACATCACCATGGTAAATAAAGGGTGCTCAATGCATTTTGACTTGACTCAAAGGATGTAAGACCTCAGTGTACCTTTAAATAAACTGTTATAAGGACGACATGGTCTTGAGGATAAATAAACCTCCTGACTTGTTCCCACAGGTTTAAAAACTTAACAATTAGGTCCCATACTAATGCTGGGGCTGAGACAGCTCCTGGCATCGCTGAAGCCAGGCTGAGGGCAGGGGCTCCGGAGGGAGGCAGGTGGCTGACACCTCTTCCACTCAGGCAGTCAAAGTGCCAATGGCCCCTTAAACCCAAGGCCGAGCAGGGAGGCCACCCCCAGCTGCGTGTTGCCTGGTCAGGAGTCACCGTCCTCCTTAATTCCATTTCATTTGACTTTACTTGGACAAATCAAATCAAAGCAAATGGCAGGAACCACAGTACAATAGAAGATTGGCACTTCTGAGGGATAAGATCCGAGACCTTCACAATTCCCGAGCCCACAAGCACCACTATGGAACAGCTGAAAAATTTGGGTCATGCTTTTGTGTCCTCAATGTGGGCTATGACAGGTAAAGGCACCAGAGAGCTGGGGGATGACAGCGGCTGTCCGCCCCCCAGATAAGAGAGCTGTTCTCCCTTAACCATCTGCCTTGCCAAGTACTTTTCAGTCTCAGCAAAATGGCAAATTACTACATGACCTCGACTTTTCATTCTCCTGTGAAACCATAAATCCTATGGCCTCACATACAAAAGCCAGTCTACTTAGCAATCTTCAGAGACAACCTCTGAAGCAATCCTGGGATAAACAGGACTCCTCAAGATTTAAGATATTGAGTCAGGGGCTGGCGTGGTGGCTCACACCTGTAATCCCAGCACTTTGGGAGGCTGAGTCGGGTAGGTGGCTTGAGCCCAAGGGTTCATGATCAGCCTGGGCAACATGGCGAAACTCCCATCTTGACAAAAAATTATCAGGGTTTGGTGGCATGCCTGTGATCCCAGCTATCCAGGAGGCTGAGGTGGGAAGATCGCTTGAGCCTGGGAGGTCGAGGCTGCAGTGAGTCACAATCGTGCCACTGCACTCCAGCCTGGGCAACAGAGTGAGACCCTGTCTCCAAAAAAAGATGTGAGTCAGGGCTTGCTGGATGTCTGAAGCAATCAATCTCTCAGGCAGGAGATAGGAGAAAATTCTAGAAACTTGCATAACAACTAAGGCTTTAGAGCAAGTTTGTCCAACCTGTGGCCCACAAGCCACATGTGGCCCAGGATGGCTCTGAATGTGGCCCAACACAAACTCATAAACTTTCTTAAAACATTATGAGATTGGACGGGGGTGGTGGCTCACACCTTTAATCCCAGCACTTTGAGAGGCCCAGGCAGGCAGATCATGAGATCAGGAGATCGAGACCCTCCTGGCCAACATGGTGAAACCCTATCTCTACTAAAAATACAAAAATTAGCCGAGTGTGGTGGTGCGTGGCTGTAATCCTAGCTACTCAGAAGGCTGAGGCATGAGAATCACTTGAACCAAGGAGACGGAGGTTGTAGTGAGCCGAGACACTGCACTCCAGCCTGGTGACAGAGCGAGACAGCGTCTCAAAAAAAAAAAAAATTATGATTTTTTTTTTAAGCTCATCAGCTATTATTAGTATTAGTGTATTTTATGTGTGGCCCAGGGAAGCCAAAAGATTGGACACTCCTGCTTTAGAGTTTTTCAACATGCCGATCATAGTCATATATTCAATGTTTCATTCATTTACATTAAAATCTCCTATTTGGTTTAAATACTTACATCATTTTCTAAAAAGTTAAACATGCTTCTTTCAGCCAACTCCTTTGACTCTTCAAATTTTTCTACCGCTTGTCTGACTTCTTCGTCTGGTATCTTACCTACTCGTTTCTTTTTATAATCGTAATCCAGGCGGCGGCCTTCCAGCTTTTTCAGGTGATGCTAAAAAAAGAGAATGGAGTCCCTCAGAGAGGTGCTACATTCAAAACCTGGCACAAAAAATTATTTCTATTAAAATGGTCATTGCTTTTTCTCGGCCTAGATTCCAGAGGGCAGGAACCCACCTTACACTGCTGTTGGGAGCACCTCAGCACCTGATGGAGGCTCCCCTCACTTCAGGTGCTCCAGGAATATTTGTGGAATGAATGAATGAATGGACAGATCGGTGATAGAATGAATGAGTGTCTTTATGGAATGTAATGATGCAGTAGCCATGCTCAGATATTATTTTCCAACGTTCTTTATACGATCCCTCACTTCAGCCTTCTTAATGTCCAGATAATTTCTAACCAGGTTAACCAAACAAAACACAGTAGGAACATTTCTTTTGGTACTATTGTCAACTCCTGACTAAGTAGTAGACTATAAAATCACAAACTTCTACAATCCCTTAGAATATTAACGGATCTCCGTAAAGTTCCCAAACAATCAAGAAATAAGTTGCGTAAAACGCTGTTAATGAATGCAAAGGAGAGAGATTCACAGACAACCTCTGAAACAGTAAAATTTCTAAACAATATTATAACCGCTTTAACAAAATATAACAGTTAGAACTGTCCACTCATGGAACAGGCTGCCTTGCGTAGCAGTAGGTTTCCCATCACAGTTTGTGTCCAAGCAGAGAGACCCCGTGTCAGAAACAGTGCTGAGTGGGATAGCTATACAGGACAAGGGAGGGGTCCCTGGAGAGTTTATGGCTATAATCCTCGGAAATCAGATACCAGGCATCGAAAGTGTATGTAGAAACTGATCATCCCACTGAAGCATGGGGATAGCTCGCACTATTCATTTTAGCAGGAAGCACTGCTTCTAACTTCCATGACTCAGTGAAAAGAGCACACAAGACCCAGAGAGTCAGAAACATCTCTCTCTTTGCTCTGTGACTTTGGGCTGGTCCCTAATCCCTCTGTACCTCTACATGAACACCTGAAAGTCAGCCGTATGTCAAATGAACAGGCCCCTGACCCCTGATTTCTGAGCGACACAGAGCATAGCTGAGACTATGAAAGGCTTCCTAAACCTTGGACTCTTAACTTTCCATCATCCACATAATTTAAGTTTAGATTTACAGTTCTGTATCAAACAGCAGCTGAGTAACAAGATGGCATTTAGAAAACTATTTTGTTGCATAGAGAACTGCAACATTTCAGAATAAGTGTGTTTTACACATTTCACCCACTTACTACTCAGGACCACATATGTGTCTGTGGTTGGCCAGGTGGAGGAGCAATGCTGACTTTTCATATGACCTTCCTCCATGATGACAGCACAAGAAGAAATAAAACTTGCTATATGTCAGCAAAGGAGGCATTTGGTTTTACAACTGTGCATTTGGGGGAGATGTTTTGGCATCCCCAGAACCCAGACTGTCACTTCTCTAGAATCAACCATTCAAAAATAATTTGCAAAAACATCTCCTGTACCCCACCAACATATACACCTACTACGTACCCACAAAAATTAAAATTAAAAAAATAAAATAATGTGTGAGCACAAACCACGTGGGAGGCTTGTGACTACAAGGAACAAACCACGATCACTCACCCCGAGGAATGGACTGCCCAACATGAGCAAAAGGTAAGCAACGGTGCTCATGACACAGAGGCACAGAAGGGATACCCCACGAAGTCTAGCGAAAGAACAAACAGCTTCCCAAAGGAAAGCACATCCGAGCTGAGGGGTGAGGTGACAGCCAGGAGAAGGGGTGAAAGGACAAAGACAGCAAATAGCGAGAAAGCACAAAGCAAAACGTCACCAGGGAGCTGGAAATAATTCAGTGAGGCTGGGCAGAGTTCATGTGGGGAAGGGGTGGCAATAAGGCCACAGAGGAAAGGAGGGGCCAGGCTGTGAAGGGCTGAGGGTCTATATCTTCACCCCACTGTCAGTGGGCAGCCAGGAAGGTTTGCAGCTCAGAAAGGGTGCCCTGGCTGTGGGCTGGAGAATGGACAGGAGGGAGTGAGATGTGACACCAGGGGTCAAGGGCAGCTGTGCTGTGTGTAAATGTTAACAGGAAGAAGCCAACAGACAGAAAGGGAAAGAATGAAGATACACCAGAGAGGACGATGGATGTCACAACGGCCCTGAGGAGGTGAGAGGTGACAGACCCTGCGGCCCAGAGGAGGACTGGCTTGAGAGCAACAGGGACATGTTTCCCCTGAGATGGAAGAAGAGGATGGTATGAGTGTCGGGGCCAAGGGGTGTGCAGGTGGGGAATGGGATGTTTAGGGAGCTCCTGAATGGATGCTTTCATTTCTCACTCAAACTTCCTGAATTCTCCCTCATACCCTTTGCTTTCAGCAGAAATTCTAAATACATTGCCTGGACAGGCATCCAGGGCTTTCCGTGACTCTCAGCCTTTCCTCCCTTCATTGCACCCCCACCCCTACACACCCTATCCCCTGGCCATATCACACAACCGAGGTCCCCGAGCCTGCCTGCTCTCACAGCCCTGGCCCTCTGGTCAGCTTGTGCTGGATATTTTGCCCACCCCAGTCTCCCAGTCTGCATTAGCCAGCTTCTCCTCCTCTGAGAAGCCTTCCCTGACCCATCCAGGCTGAAAGAGGTGCTTCTCCTTCATGTCCCTGGGCTCATCTCTCCAACAACTGTCAAAGTGCATGGTATCTGTTTACTTGTCTCTCTACCCTACACCTGTGAGCTTCACAAGGGCATGCACCAGGTCTTGTTTAGCCACATATGGCCAGTGCCCACCACCACTGTAGCAGGGCAGAGCAGGCTATACACAGTTGATGGATGAATAAATAAATGAACAAAGGAAGAACCAATAATCTGACATCCATCAGTTCCTTCTCTGGCCCCTGGAATATGGAGCCACCTCAAGGCCCACGGTCCAAGCAGGGAAGGCCACCCAAGCTCACACATCCCACCAGCCTCATCTCTGTCACATAGGCTAGACCAGTGGGGGTTCACACTTCCCCCTCGAGTTCTGGAAAGGATGGGCTGGAACAGTGGTTTCTGAACATTAGCGTGCATCAGAATCACCTGGAGGACTTTATAAAACACAGACTTGCTGGGCTTCACCCATAAGATTTCTGATTCAGGAGATAAGGGATGGGGCCCAAGAATTTGCATTTCTCACAAGTGATGCTGATGTTGCTGGTCCAGGGACCACACTTTGAGAATCAATAGGTCTGAAGAAGGGAAAACAGGATATGCCCAAGGCTCAAATGACCTCCAAGCTGAGATCATGCTGAAGGCACCTGGAGGAACATCTTCTGTACATATCCATAAGACGGTGCTTGTACCTCCAGAGTGGAAGTCACTGGTGGGGTAGAAGTCTTGGGGCTGTTTTTGCACATCTACAAAAATGCCACCATGCAAGTGGCATGCAATTATCTCCAGGTACCTGAAAATTCCCATGCACGCCATTTTTAACAGTTTTCCAAATGAAAAATTCAATTTCTAGGTATTGATCTTCTTGAGAAGTAATGGAAAATAATGACCACCAGGGCAACGCATCAAAACATGCAACTATGGTACGATTTTGATAATAAGAAATCCACTATAAAGTTATGTAATTACTTTGTTTAGCCTGGCTTAGAGCTGGCTTCAACTAAATACAGAATTTCCAGCTGAAAGAACATGGCTTACATTCCCTCCCATTATCCTGCTTCATCTCCAGGGCAGATAGGACTAATGGATCCTGGCACTCTTTCCCAGTGAGCCCAGGAAAATAGAACTGAGTCATTTTTACCCTACCCACAAGCATCATAAGATGATGCTTTCAGTCTGCTGAAACGTTCTAGTGATTTTAAATATAAACATCATCTTATGTAGCAACAGGTATATTTATACCCTGGAAGACTTACCCCGATCTCTTTTAAATCTTTATCTTGTAGTAACTGAAGTGGATCAATAAAAGTTTGCTTTACATTAATATCAAGAGAGTCTTTCACCTCAGCCATTAGCTTCATGGATTCACCAACTTCTATCAATGCATTGCCTTGAATAGAAAACATAAATACAAAAGGTTCTTTGGGAACACTACTCCAGGTTAACAGTGCTATTTATTTCATTCTTTACCAAAAGTGTGTGGATGATGGTGTAGCAAGGTCCTTGCTCCGGGACCTCTGAATCCTGGATCAGAATGAAAAAGAAAAAGCAAGGCTTCCTATTTTCTGTATTTTCCTCTCTATGGTCTGCACTTTCACCACTACAGAAAATACAACTGAGGCTAGCAGACCGAAGTACTTACCATTTGGACCACTAGATGGGGATAAAGATCCTTTCTAAAAAACTGGTAATTTGGGAAACTGGCACGGAGGGTTCCTTAGAAGCTTGAGAATAAAATCTCTTTGTAAACAATGAAAGGATTCACTCATGGGGCTAAGTGTTAACCAGTAAAAATTACAATAGAAATAAACCAACAAAACATCTCAGCTTCTAGCCGTGGGATCTTCTCAAGGCTACTCCCCGTATCCTTCTAGAAGGTTCTAAGCCTCCCTGCCCTCTCTGATGTCAAAGAAAGCCTGCCAGTGTCACATGGGACATCCTGTCAGCAGGGTGGGGTGGGGGTCTGCTGGTGCGTTGGAGCCCAGGCCAGCCTTCCTGGCTCGGGTAGTGGCAGGTAGTTTTTCCTGGATTACAGTGTGCTATCTCAGTCCGGTTAATCGGCAGTAATTTGCCAGATTACTGCAAACCAGGTGCCCTCTAGTTCTCTGTACAATGAGGGTTGCAGGGTCTCTAGAAAACATCCCTGGGAAATGCTGCACTAGAATGAACTATTTTTCCTATATTTGGGTTTTTCCAAATTGATCTTGTAAAAAGATGGAGATTGGGTTGCTCCATTTCTAGGCTTGAAGAAGACCGTAAAGCCCAGCCTAAGTCTGACCTTTGAGTTGTTTCACCCACCAGGTGAGGGCATGGACAACTTAATTACCTGTAAAATAGAGATGGCAACATGTGCCTCACCTCCCTTAAAAAAAAAACAGAAAGATACTAAAGAGGACCTTGCAAAACAGAAGTAGGAACCGTTACTCTAAACTAAGGCTTCCCAGGACTCCATACGGACCCAGTGGTAGCTTCATTCCTCCTTGGAAGCTACATTTCCTTAGCTCAACTCTCCAAAGTGTGTCTAAATAATTCCTAAATGAAGACGAAATGTCCCTTCCTAGCCTGTGGACTCTTTCCTGCCCAAATGGTGAGAAATGGTATTGCCTGACCCCCTACACAGCCCCTCTGCCACCAGTGCCAGTGTCTCACAATGTCAGCTCATTTCGCCTTGACAGAAACATTTTCAAATACACTGTAGACTCCAAAGATGATGCTCTGAACATGGGCCGCCACCTCCCTGGAATCAACATTCCCTCTCCTTGCCTGAGACTGGCGCTGTCGAATTCCACGGGTGTGGGGCTCAGCCTCCACCCACTGAGGTTTCTGTACTGTAGGAGGTCCCAGTATGTGGCCCCCCAAAAGAAAACATCCAACGGCACAGCCTCTTCCTTGGAAGAGCAGAAATCCATCTGTTCCTGATGCCCTGCTGACATCAGCTCTCTTCCTCATCCCAAGTTTTTTTCGGTTGCCGAGCACCTGGGAAGCTACCAAATTGTCTGGCTGTCGCCAAGGCCAGATGCACGGCAGGAGTGTCCTTGGATTTCAAGGCCTGCCTGGCAGTTTCACCTGCTCCCTTCACTGATGTGCCTTCAGAGTAAGAAATAGGCCATCTTGTCCCCATTGGCCCTTAGAATAAAATAAAATTCACATTATACTGCTCTGAGGGATAATATTACCCTTTGTCACTAATTAATTCGTGTTTTAATGCTTGAGTTTTAACATTTTTTTCAAAAGATATTTCCTCCAATTTCCTAGAATGATTACTGTGGCCAAATATTTGATTTCTCAACTTCCATCTCTTCCATCTCCTGCCTTGTTACCACTATATGAATAGCAAATATGCCAAATTCTTTGGGAATACTTAATATATTAAATCCAATTCATCCTCAATTTAATGTATTAATTTAAATGAATCTCAATCAAAATTTAATGACTTTTTTAAATAAAAGGGACTTAAGTTTCACCTGGAAAAATAAAACCAGTAAGTGTGTCTGTGAACTTTTTGCAATACAATACCTAAATTTTTAGTAAATAATATATTAAAGTATGTTTTAAAACTTCAATACTTAAAACAATATGACACTGAATCAAAACAGGATACAGATCAAGAAACGGAAGAGAAAGACCATAAACAAATTTAATGTATAATAATTTAGCCTATAATAAAAGAATCATTTCAAATCATCAGGAGAAAGTTGGACTTTTCAACAGTACTGAAACAAGCTATTTATTTGTTAGAAAACAAAATTAGAACCCTATTGCACTGTAGCTCCAATAAATGCAGGAGCTTGGAAATTTAAAGGCAATAAAAGAAAATACAGGATTCAAAAACAAGTATAAATAAACGTTTATATCATTTGCCAGGGAGTGGGATGAAAAAGATTTTCTAAACATGATTCCAAAAAGCTAGAAACCATATAGGAAGACTAAAGAGCTTCAGTAAATAAAAAATAAAAATCTCTCTCCATTGAAATGACCTTCATATACAAGGTCTGAAGGCAAATGCTTACCTGGGACAAAGCTTCATCAACATACAAGACAGCCAATGAGCAAATATCCTGACCATTTAAAGAGCTCATGAGACAGGGGGGAAAAAATGGACCTCCTGATGCAAAAGCAGGCTAAGGACACAAACACACAATTCACAAAAACAATGACAAACACAAATAAAAATTCCACCTCACACGTGATCCAAAAGATGGAGTTAAAACAGCAATGAGATATCATTTTTGTATACTACATATCAAATGATCAGTTATTTAAAAGTAAACTAAAAAGATAATCTCTAGGGTTAGGAACTATGTAGAGAAATATACCCTCACTCACTCCTGGCAACAGTGTCAAATGAGTGTAACCCTTCTGAAGGGTAGGTTGGGAATATGCTTTCAAAACCTGAAAAATAAGCATACTCTTGACTCAGCAATTTTATACTAGACATGTTATCTAAATTATGTCAAAGAATATAATTTTGGATATCCCCAAAGATTTACCTATGAAAATGGTTATTGTAAATGCTATGTAAAATGTTTTTACATAAAGAAACATTTATTTAGTAAATGGGATTGACTGAACAAACTATGATACATGGAATATTATGTAGCCATTAAAAACAATATCATGGAAGATTAATTATTTTACGATATGGATCATTATATAGTCAGTGTTACCAAAGAGTATATGTACTATAGCCTTACTGTAGTTTTTAAAAGTACATATGAATACATATAAGAATAAACAAGGCATAAAAGATACACAACAAGCCAAGTGCAGTGGCTCACTCCTGTAATCCCAGCAGTTTGGGAGGCCGAGGCAGGCGGATCACTTGAGGTCAGGAGTTCAAAACCAGCCTGGCCAAAATGGCGAAACCCTGTCTCTATTTAAAATACAAAACATTAGTCAGGCATGGTGGCTTGAGCCTGTAATCCAGCTACTCGGGAGGCTAAGGCACGAGAATCGTTTGAACCTGGGAGGTGGAGGCTGCAGTGAGCCAAGATCGCGCCACTGCACTCCAGCCTGGGCATAGACTTTGTCTAAAAAAAAAAAAAAAAAAAAGATACACAACAGAGTTTAATTGGGCCTATCGGTGGATATGGGATTATGGGTGATGTTAGCATTTTTCTTTATTTTACTTACCTATGTTTTCTAAACCTCCTGCAATTAACATGTATTACTTTGGTAATATGGAAAAATAACAAAGGTTGTTAGACTGAAGGGTTTGTGTATAACCTAAAACCATACTGGAGGAGTTCTCAGCTCCCCCAGCTGATCTCTGAATAACTCACCAAAGGTGGAGTCTTCCCCGAGCTCCTTCCCGTATTTCAGCATACAGTCCCCCAGCAAGCCTTCCGTCTGCGGGTATCCTGTGGTCTTCACCTGCCCTCGGATCTTCGACACAGTGTTCAGCATTCCTAGCTTAGCTCTGTATGCTTAAAAACATTGTCATTTGTAATTCTTTAAAGTTACAAGGTGGAGTGACAGGTACATAGAATTTAATAAACGCAGCTGCCAAAACTGAGGTCACCTTAAACAAAATGCCAGAGACCTGAGGCCTGAAACAATTGTGTGTGAACTATTTAATTTTCTCAGGTAATTTTCTAGGTTCTTTACCAAGGTGGGTGCTAAGTGCACTGTTCCGCAGCCACGATGAACCATAGAAATGATGGTGCACATCGGCTGGGCGCAGTGGCTCACACCTGTAATCCCAACACTTTGGGAGGCCGAGGCCGGCAGATCACCTGAGGCCAGGAGTTCAAGACCAGCCTGACCAACATGGAGAAACCCTGTCTCTACTAAAAATACAAAAAATTAGCTGGGCGTGGTGGCACATGCCTGTAATCCTAGCTACTCGGGAGGCTGAGGCAGGAGAATTGCTTGAACCCGGGAGGCGGAGGTTGCAGTGAGCCAAGATCGCGCCATTGCACTCTAGCCTGGGGGACAAGAGCGAGACTTTGTCTCAAAAAAAAAAAAAAGAAAGAAAGAAAGAAAGAAAAAAAAAAAGAAATGATGGGGCACATTGCTGACTTGAAATAATAGTGACCAGGCTTTCCTGAGCACCACCCCTCGAGTGAGACCCTTTGGAAAGCTTGCAGTTGCTGACACGTGAAGTCAGACACTGACACCTGTGTGACACTGACATGCTTTTTGTTTGTTTGTTTAAATGTAAACAAAAATAGAATTGCCGAGGAGGATATTTCAAACAACCAACTGGTCATTAACACACACCACATGCGCGCGCACGCACACACACACACACTCTGCTCCCAAGGACTGATTGAGCCTAATGATTTTCAGTATTATGGCAGGCAGGTGCTGCTGTTTAGGAGGCAGAATCATAGGAGGGGACAGACCACCCCACCCCTAGTGAACACTAGCCTTGTGTGGCTGGTCCCAAGGTGCAGCTCAGCCTCTGCTCCCTAGGGAGGTGATGCGCATCACTGCGTCTTACCTTCCTTTCCTTCCTCTGACTCAGGCAATGAGTATTTACTCATTGTTGCACTGGGCCCTGTGCAACAACACACTGTGCTCATTACTGGGACTCCAGAGACAGGCTTTGCCCTCAAGGAGCTCAAAGTCTAGTTACTGGGAGGCAGAATATACAGGACATAATTATGAAAATAAAGTCCAGTGTGGTGCAGGGCAAGGGAAAGGCGGCAATATGCTGAAGAAAGATGGAAAGATGCCCTAAAAAGTACAGAGAATGGTGTCAGTAACGTGTAGAAGAGGGAATACTGTGGCATAATCAGTGGACAAGGAGTAGGCTGGTTTGACCTAAAATGCTATTAATACAGGACAAAGTGGGAGATAGCTATGGGAAAATGTGACTATGAATTGAACACCAAGCTAAGGATTTGAGATTTCATCCTGTAGGTGAGAGAGTGAATCACATACTAGTTTGTGGTATTTGAGATACTTTTAGATAGTCAAGAGATACACTTTTTTTCCTACTTTAATAATTTTGTACTATTTTTAATGTATTTTAAATCAATGCCTCCAAAACTTTAATGTGTATGTAAATAACCCAAGGATCTTGTTAAAATGTAGAGTGATTCCATCGGTCTGGGTTGAGCCTAATTCTGCATCTCCAGCAATAGAATGCACTGTGAGTAGTGACATTCCCGTGCCAGCTGTGAGTGCCACTCACATTCACCTGACATTCACAGTGCCAGCCTTTTTTGTTGTTGTTTTGAAACAACAACTGTTGCCCAGGCTGTAGTGCAGTGGTATGATCATGGCTCACTGTGGCCACAAACTCATGGGTTCAAGCGATCCTCCCACCTCAGCCTCCTGAGTAAAAATAGGACTACAGACGTGTTACCACACCTGGCTAATTTTGAAAATGTTTTGTAGACATAGAGTCTTGCTACATTGCCCAGGCTGGTCTTGAACTCTTGGCTTCAAGCAATCATCATGCCTTGGCCTCCCAAAGTGCTGGGATTACAGGCATAAGCCATTGTGCCTGGCCAGTGCCGGACTTTTGAACCTCACATTTATCCTCAAAGCATTTATCCTCCAGGTCCCCAAGCCCAAAGGCTTCACTCTCACACACTACACACACACACACACACACACACACACACACACACACACACTCTCTCTCTCTCTCTCTCTGCCCATCTTTCCCACTGTTGGAGGGGGATGTGGGATGCAGCAGGTATGTGGGTGAGAGCCATTAAACTGGATAAGAGGTTGCTAGGGCTGCCTCTTCTCTAGGAATAACCAGAGACCTCTAGCCAGTGGTGACACTTTTATTGTTGGCCAACACTTCCTTATCCCATTCAAGAGTCAGCTGGTTGAGGGTGAAGTATCTGTCTGATTTCATAGTGTACTCCAGCACCCCGAAATCCTCTAGTGCAGAGAAAGCACATATTAAATATTTGTTGACTGATATATCAGGAAAAGAAATTTGTGTGGCTGATTTCAATCACTGATGTGGCCAGGGAGGAGAAGATATATTTTTATGGTTTTCAAAGCTATTATCATCAATACAATTGTAAAGAACTTTAGACCTGCCTGGATACACCTGATAAAATTTATATTCTTAAATTTTTACTTTCTCAATTTTCAAATGGTTAGGTTTGTGCTGATTCCTACAGTCAAGGGAATCACAGGAACTCTACGCAGATAATAAATTCCTAAAAAGGAAAGGTGGCTTTAGAAATCCACAGAACTCAAAGCTTGGGCGCCCTCTATTGGTTCCTATAATTTACAACCTGGGAAAATCTCATCAATAGATGCTGCTTGGGGACCTAGAAACCCAGACCTTCAGTGGAGAAGCTGATGTGACACTGGATTTAAGCAGCCTTTCGTATTCACCACATCTTGTTTCTCCAGCATTTAAGCCACAAAGAGAAAGCTTTTTCAAATTAACATATACCTTTATGTATATAGTACACAAGGGCAGAATTTTTAAAAAAATTATAAAGAGGAAATAAGGAAGAAAATATTTGCCAAATGTTTAGTGGCTTTCTGAAGCAACTCATAAAACCTTTGCTCAGTGCTCTCTTGTTGCTATGACCAGCACTCCATTCGGATGATGTCAACTGAAATTCACAAAAATAGCTGTTCTCTTTCTCATCAGTAGGACCGAATGCAACTACCTTTGGTCACTGGAGACTCAGCTTTAAAAACTGAATTTCATTATTGGGACACAGACGACATTGTTTCTACATTATGTCAACTAAACACCAAGTAAACATGGGTTATTAGAGTCTGTGACAGCAAATGAACAAGAGAATATTTCAACTTTACCTGGATTTGGCTGAAGATATTCAGTGGTTTTTGAAAGAATTTCTGCAACAACTTTATTGGTAACATCTATTTTCTTAAAAGCAAAATTTAAAAAAAGTTAGTAAATGACAAACTCAATAAAATCACAAAAGAGCAAATAGAGGAGGAATTTTCATTAATTTAATTCTTCTAACACGATTATGATGATTTTAATCCAAATGAACGTTTTCAACATTTTTGGGAGAGGTGATATTTTCTCACTTTCTGATTTTTGGAACATCATTTCCTTCAAGTGATGTTGGAGAACTTTACTTTCCCTTTAAACATTAAAATGAATATTAAGGTAATATTTAGAAAATCTGGAAAAGTTATTATGCTCCACTAGATTATTAGATATACTTGGAAGTCTCTCAAAACTAACACTAGATATGAACCAAACTCTCCTTATCTGCTAGGTGAACTTGAATTTCTATACTTATATAAGGATGCCACAGTAATGATTCATATTAGCAACTGCCTCAGTAATCAACACTAAAAGAATCATAATCATTAGTATTATATTATAATACAATAAACACATTCATTTGTGCTATGGTCAGAAGATGTTAACATCAAAGTTTTCCCCAAACGTTCCCTGAAAGTTAACCCTTTCTGGTTAAGACTGAATCTTTCCTTCTGCAAAACCATTCCTGGACTTTCTGGTTGTTAGTTAACCAGAGAGTTAATATGGGAATAAACAATAAAGTTAAAATGCAAGTTGCAATAGCTTTATTTATACCATCAGTAGCCCAAAAGAAAAAGATCTCATTCATAAAAGCAATAAAAATGCAATAATGAAGAATAACTATTATGAGAAATTCACAACACCTATTTGAAAAACCACATTCTTAGATGGGAAAACTCAATTTTGTAAAGATATGCATTCTTCCCAAATTAACATGCAAAATTCATTCAAATCCCATCATAATTTCAATTTTTTCTTTTTTTTGTTAAAATTTGGCAAGCTGATAGTAAAGTGAGTCTTCATACTATATACATGATTAAAAATATCAACCTAAAAAAATCAGACTATAAAACGACTAACATACAGACAACAGTATTTTGAAATACTGGAGTGGGAAGAAACTTCTAACCAGGACCTGAAATTCAAATGTCATAAATAAAAAGACCAAAATTCTGACTCCGTAAAAACTTAAAAACTGAACATGAAAAGACATAGAGTATGTGAAGTTTGACAAAAGTGGCATAATATTCTAAACTCCCATTTAAACAAACAAGAAAGAAGGAAAAGGCTGGGCACGGTGGGACACACCTGTAATCCCAGCACTCTGGGAGGCTGAGGCAGGTGGATCACCTGAGGTCAGCAGTTCAAGACCAGGCTGGCCAATATGGTGAAATCCTATCTCTACAAAAATGCAAAAATTAGCCGGGCATGATGACGGGTGCCTATAATCCCAGCTATTTTGGAGGCTGAGGTGGGAGAATCGCTTGAACCTGGAAGGTGGAGGTTGCAGTGAGCCGAGATCACGCCACTACACTCCAGCCTGGGCAACAGAGCGAGACTCCATGTCTTAAAAAGAAAGAAGGAAAAGAGGAAAAACACAAGCTGCCTACAAAGATTTGAAAAAAATATTCAGAACTGTAAATAAAAAGGAGATGCTTTACATTCTCCAGATTGATAAAAACATTTTTAAAATCAGTTATACTCAATATCAGGTATTATATGGGTGTGGAGTAACACACAACAGGAATGCAAAATGATACGTTTTTGGAGATCAAGGGAGAAGTGCTTATTAATGGGCATATTAATAAACCAGCTATTATACTTCTAAGGATTTGTCCTTTTAGAAACACACGAGCAAATTGCAGTGAAGGAAAAACATGTTTGTTAGGCCATTTTATGTAATATTGAAAATGGAAATCAACAGGAGACTGATGGATAAATTATGAAACATCCAAGTAAAGGAATACTCTTTAATCATAAGGAAAAAAAATAAGGAAGATCGACATTCAAAGTACATACATAGAAAGCAAGCAAGCTGCAGAATGATTTATAATAGAAGACAAATCATTTTTGTAATTTAGAAAACTATGATCCTGCCAGGGTCACAAGTTTGCAACCAAGCAATCTTATCCAGCCTGAAATCGTATTTGTTCCCCTTAGGTAAATACATTAATTTGGGCTAAATAAATTAATCTGGAGCCCCAGGAAAGTTTTAAAAGACAGTACAGAAATGATAAAAAAGGAGTCAAACCTATATTACTGATACTTGTGTGCTGTGTGTGCAAGTGGGCATGTGAGTGTGCGTTTGGCCTAGTAACAAGTTTTGTGACTTTGAGCTCTCTTTGGTATGTTCAGCTATTTGCCAAGATTGTTGAAATGTTTAAGAGAATCTGATTAACTAAATATGTCTTATTAGTCACAAGAAATGTAAGGGCTTAGGAAAATGCTGTTAATAGATTTTATGTAAAGTTTGAGGGAGTCCTGTACCTTGCCTTTGTGATTATAGCTTGAAATGTCTAAGGGAATTTGCTTAATTATATAACTGGTGGTAAATATTTAAGGATTGAATCTGTTAAGCTTATGTGTTAATTAATGCAACCTCAAATGAAAATTAACTATAATGATTTTCATCATATAGCAAAATTACTAAATTTGGAAACAAGATTCATAAGTTCAGTTTAAAGCTTAAGAAAAATGAGGATTTTAGATTTATAATGTAACAAATTAGATATTAATTAAAATATAACTTAGAGTGCTCCCTTTGATATATACAACCCTTTTTGGACATGAAAAGCCACCACAAAGCTAAGAGTCATCTCTGAAAGATGATGATGAGAGGAATTAGAATGGGGATATTTTCTACTTCAGATCTTTTTTATATCTTTTGAAACAAAAAAGCCCAAGAAACAAATGACCAAAAACTTGCAGGTACCTTGTAGGCCCTGACATGCACATACTGGAGCTGCCTCCACACCAGCCCAAGCATCAAAACTAGAAATAAACCCTTTACAAATTGAAGAGTAAACATATTGGCTAATGTGGAGTCAAGATGAGCATTCAAAACAAAACAAAAAAACAACAACAAAAACTCATGTAGCTTAAAAACAAAATCTCCCTCCTAGAATAACTAGGGACACTATAGTGTGTGTGTGTGTGTGTGTGTGTGTGTGTGTGTGTGTGTGTGTGTGTGTGTTGTGTGTGTGTGTCTGTTCAAGTCAACCAAATGCTATGCAAATATCCTGCCAAACCATTAAGAAAAATAGAGGGAAGCAGAATGGTAAAAATTATTTTTTGTGAAGTCAACCTGGTATGACAGCATCTTGGTTAGTTAAGTCTGGAATTTCTGTTTAATGCTGGCACCCTGCCCATGAGGTGTCCCAAGGCCTGTGCCACTGACTCCCTTAGGCCCAGTCCCTGAGTGAGAGAGCTGCTAGCAGCTCTCATTTCTGACACTTATTTACAGCATTCTCTTTAAAAAATGCTATCAGTGGGCATATCCTCTTTCTTCTTCTTTATGTAATTTGTTTGTGTTTTTCCTTTTTCTCCCTCTTGGCCTCACTTGGTAGAGGTTTGTTGTCTTACAGCTTTTCTAAAGCTCTTGGCTTCATTGTTTCGATCTTTTGTGGTTATTGTTTTCTATTTTATTAATCTCTTTTTTTATCCATATTGATTTCTACCTTCTACCTAGAGTGATTTAATTTGCTGTTATTTTCCTAGCTTCTTGGATTGCATGATTTATTCATTTTCTCCCAACATTTATTTTCTTTAAATACATTTACAGTTTAGCCACATATCACAGGTTTTGACATACAGAATTGTCACTCATGCCTAAATAATGTCATTTTACTTTCCATTTCCTCTTTAAACTAAGAATTATTTTTACATATTTTTAAATTTCCAAACATCCAGAATTTAGAAGCTCTACTTTCCCTTATAATTCTTATGTTCTATGGAATCACTTTGGGAAATTTATCGAGTTTTTTTTTCTATAACCTAGTACATAATTGATAACCATATTTGTTCCAAAGGAATTTGAAAAATATGCACATTCTCCATTTGGGGAATGCAGATATCTATATTTATTTATAATCAAAGTTATTAATCATATTTTATGCAAATCCTCCATGAGCCTATTGATTATTGTCAGTTTAATCTATTATTTTATGAGAGAGGTATGTGAAGTCTACTTCTATTTTTATCAACTGTCTATGTATTTCTGACAGTTTCTACCTTAAAAATTCAGATGCTATGTTATGTAGTGCAGAATGGTTCATAACTATTATAATTTCCTGATAGACTACATTGACTGTATCTTTTTATAATTAAAAAGCTTTTTTAATTTAGTGCTTCTCTTGCATCAAATTTTATTTTGATTTTACTATTGTTCCTCTATTTTTATATGGTTAGCATTAATTATAGAATATTTTTTCCCATTACTTTCTCATTTCTGTATCATTTATTAGGTGGGTCTAATACCATCTAATGCATCTCTTCTGGAAAGTTTTAAAACTTCTGGTCATGTATTATATGTTTCCATGCTTTTCACTGCTGTAATAAAACAGATAATAGACTTTATATTTCTTCTGTAACTCACTGGGGTTTTTGGAGGTAAAAGGAGGTAAGCAAGAAGGATCTCAATCCATCAACCAAAACTAAAACTCTGGAAAAATGCTTTTAAATTTAACATTTCAACTGAATCATTTTGTTAGTAACAAAGCTATACATCACCTATTTGTATATTAAGAGTTTTTTTTAAGTAATTTAAGGTATGTCAATGGTGTGAACATGTTTCCATGGTTTTAAGGTTCAGAAATTAAGTTTTCTTTCAAAAGCAAAAACAAAATAAGCTTTTCTCCCTCAAGGCATTAACATTTCTAGACATTTAATAGTTCTCATCCAGAAAACAGAGAACTCCCTGGAAGATGAGCTGGCCAGAGCCAAGGTATCCTGGGGAGATACTCTCCCAGGCAGTGCGCAGCCTGGGGCTGGACTTCCTTCCCCAGCACCTGCTGACATCTCTGCTACCTACTGTATCTGCAGCCTTGATGTTACACCTGAGGGTGGATGCCTTGCTTCATTTCCTCCCTCTCTCCTCTGGGGTGGGGGGTCTAATTATTAAAACAAGGCTATGTTTAAAGGGCCCAGACAATGAGCAAAGAAACAGTATGTTGTTAATACTGGTGGTTCTAGTTCTGCCTCCACCTGAGCAACTCCACACAGCTGACTGGGAAACATGTTAAGGGACAGAGATGATACCATTTTTCTTTGGAGCATGTTACAATCATTTCTGTCTCAAGCCCGTCATATTTTTTGTAAGTTATTTCAAATACGTTAATGTTTGCATAATTCTCACAAAATCCATGTGAGACAAGCAGGGCACACTTGTCATCTCTGTATCAGTTCAAAAAGATGAATTCACTTATCCAAGTTCACACTCTGGTTCTACAGGCAGAACCAGGATAAAAGTTACTTGCTATGCAGCTCCTGCAACACATGGGAGCAGAGCCCAAGTCTTCCACACGGTAAATAAATCATTCTGCATTTCAAAAAATCTTGTCCCAGAAATACATTTTGATTCTCCAAAACATATACTACCAATTACTTTGGCCTTGCAGTAACTGCCAAGATTGCCCATCTTTTGCACATTCTGACTTCTGGCCACTAGAGGGTACCAGTTAGCCACATCGATCTCATTACTCGACCTGCCCAAACTGCATGTGGCTACAGGGGGAGGATCTGATTTGGGCTGGGACGTGGGAAAGTACTGCCTTGTAGATTGCATAATCCACACCTATATTTAAACATCCTAGATTTCCACTCGAATATCCTTTACAATAGCAGTATATCTCATATCACAATGAAAGTCAGTTTCTAATCAATTTACATATTAAAATGCTCTTACCCTTTCCATGTCAAGAAATTCATCGTCTAGTTTAGTTCCTTCAGCACCACTTATTTTTTCACTAAATAGCTGCAGAAATAAACATAAATAATTGCATTGTACAATGATTTCTTGTCACAGTTTTTTACCTAAATTATTAAAAACAGAAACAAAAAAACTTGGATTCAACTTGTTGGATTTTTTGAACTAACTCCTTTAAGAAAATTGTTGGAAGGGGTAACCATATCTAAAGGCACAGGAAGACATACATTTCTCATGCAGTCAACAGATATTTATTATGCACCTACTATGTGTAAAACACATGGTAAGTGCTGTAGGACATAGACAAGAGAGATACTTGTCATCAAGGAACACACAGTTCACCCAAAGAGTCAACACACAAACATTCAATTAAAAAACAAGAAAAGAACAATAAGAACCATTAAAAAATAATAGTACTAGAGACAAATTACTGTAAATGAACTAAGTGGTAGTCACTTCAGTGATGCACAGAATGGACTTTGAGAGCCCACGGCACTGGGAGTAGGTTCATGCGGGATGTGTTTCCTAGAAGATGTGGCATTTGAGCTGGCATTTTAAGGATAGAGAACATTTCATCGGGCGGCACTGAAGGAAAGGCCTTCTGGGATGAGGCATGGAAAAAAGAGCCAGGGGCAGGAATGGATAGGACAGGTTTTCTCAGCCTCGGCTTTATTGATATTTGTAGCAGATAATTATCTGTTGTGGGGGCTGTCCTGTGCACTGCAAGATGTTTAACAGCAACCCTGGTCTCTGCTTGCTAAAGGCCAGTACTACAAGCATGGACACACACACACATATACACACACACACACACACGGTTGTAACAACCAAAAATGTTGCCCAAGAGCTGAGGACAATTTGTGTATGGCCAATGTGCTAAGAAAAAAAAACAGCAATAAATTGTGTTTAACTGTGAAAACTAGTGCACAAGGAAGAATGGAGGAAAATAAAATCTGAAAGTTACGCAACGCCCAGAGCACAGGGATTCTCAAATGCCAAGCTAAAGAGTACGAGTGAGAGATCCCTAAAGAGTCTTCATCAAACACAGAGAAACCCTTTAGAAAAGCAAGTCTGGCACCAGTAGGGTTGGATTAAAGAACGAGGAAGACAAATTGGAAGAAGAAAATAAGTTCAATCATTTTCTTTAGCAAAACACATTAACATAATCTACGCCCTTAAAATAGTAATATGAATATGCAAATCCACAGTAAGGGAGGTGCCATCAATTAAAGGTGAAAAGATGGCAGGTTGTTTTAAATACAAGTGTAGTTACTACTACTATTACACATGCGGTATTACTATTTAATAGGAAAAATATAAGTGGAGATAGTATTTTACTTAAATTCGAAGTGTGAGAAGGAATTTCTTGAAGACAACAGATACAGAAGACTACAAAATGGCCAGGGTTCTCCATCCTCCCTGTCCTGCGTCTTTACAGTTCCTCCGAGCTAGAGTTGGAGTCTATCTTCCCACCTAGTGAATCTGGGCTGGGCTTGTGACTTGTTTTGACCCCACAGAAACAAGCCTAGCTAGGCAGGAAGAGATCTTGTGTGCTTCTACTCACTCTCTAGAAACACTGTTGCTACCCTGTGAACAAGCAAGCCCAGGCAAATTAACTGAATGGAGAGAAACAAGTGGCCCAGACACCCACCAAGGTACAACCAGTCCATCCCCAGAATCAGAGCCACCCAGCTGACCTGCAGGTGACTGCAGTAACGTGAGAGACCCCAGCTGAGATCAGCCCCATCTGCTGAGGCATGGGAACAGGAGTCCAATAAACGGTATTGCTTTAAACCACTGAATTTTGGAGTGGTTTGCCACATAATAGAAGTTATCTGGTACACTGAACAAGAATCCTTACTTTTCAGGCTGAGTACAGAAGTCAGAGAGAATTAACCTAATGTCTTGATACAAGGCATAACTTCCAATAGAAAAAATGAAAAATTTCATTTCCACACACCAAGCAGTGTTTTAACAGATGTGTCCATCAGTTAACTCTCCTAAACATTTTCATTGTTGTTGTTCAGTAGTGAAATCATCCAACATATTGGTTCTCAACTTTGGAGGTAATAGCCTGAGGATCTAAGGAAAGTTACACAATCTCTCCTGGGGTGGGGAGTGGCACCTCCACGTTTTGTTGCCATGGTAGAGTACAAAAGTGGCCACAGGCTTTGCAGCTCCTCTCATTAAGAAGTCTATTTTTCCACGCTTCGACTTGCTTTGGCCAATAGAAGAGTGTAAACCACACTGTATAGCTATAAATTCCAAATCAGTACTCACAAAGAGGCTCTACAGATACTTCTGCTCACTCTGTCAGGTCCGCTGTGACTGCTTCCACCTGACCAAGTCTGGGCTGCCTTGTTGGAGAATGAAAGACCACGTGGATCAGAGATCAGCCATCCCACCTGAGCAACCTCGGGCCATCAAGCCCTCAGCTCACCTGGCAGCTGACCGGCAACAGGTGAGTGAGCCCAGCAGCGATCAACCACACCAGCACATCCACCCACCCAGTGCTCCCAGCCCAAATTGCTGACCCACAGAATCATAAACTAAATGAACTTTTTTTTTTGTCTTAAGTCGCTGTGTTTTCGGATGGTGTGTTATATAGCAAAAGCTGACTGATACAGTGGCCTGCATTTCCTGTGACTATTGAAACCACAGAAGCCCACATGTAGATCCACGTTTTAAAATAACCATTTGAAAATCCCTTTGGCTTGGAGAGTTGGACCCGAAATCCCTTTAATCCGAACGAGTTCGCACTTGTTCAGGTTTTACTTGTTCTATTTTCAGAAACCAAAATGTCTAATAGAAGGAGTAGTGTTTCTACTTTCAAGAACAGAAACTAGTGACATGAATATATCTTGTTTGAAAAGACAACATATGGGATCATTTTCAACAGGAGTCACAGGTTAAGAGTCATGATCATTCGTTTCTGCTTTTCCTGAATTTCCCAGTGGTGTTTACTGTTTTGATACATTAAGTATAAATACACATATAGCATTAGCTGTTTAGGCCACGTAATTATATTTCAGAGGTCAGTCAATGAACAAATATTGTTTGTTGAGCATCTACTATGTGCAGGGACATGACTGGTACTTGGGATAGAAAGATAAAAAAAGATAGACGTGATTCCTACAGGGCACCTGGCCTCCTTCCAAGGTTACAAGGTTATTTCCTCTAGGTGCTGGAAGCTAAATATAAATACTCAAGCTTCTATTTCTGGTGAAGATGACTATTCAAATTCAACTCCGATGCACTCCCTATGCTCTGAATACAAATCAAGGATAGATTAAATATCAAAATATGCACTCTTTATGCCTTGAATACATAGCAAGGATAAATTAAATATCAAAAAAAGAAAACCAGAAAGATAAGCAATGCTCAAAAACAGAATAAACATTTTTGTGAATCTGAAAATGAACAGAAACACAACATGATGAACAAGGTTGAAGCCTCGGGCCTGCTGGGCTTCTTGCCTGCACACAGGCTATGACAGCCAGCAGTCTGGTTCCTGCTGAGTACAAAAGGATCTAAAAGTGCTCCATGAGACCAGAGTCTGGGTTCAAGTTCTGCTTACAGCTGGGGATGGAAAAGCAAATGAGGCTGGGAAAAAAAATTCAGATGTAAACCCCTGTCTGATGCTACCACATGTGGCAATCTGCAGGCCCAAGGAGACTGAAGAACAAAGAATCAGTCAAGTCACATCCCCACCCCCTCCAGCTCTGTGACTGGATCCAGATAGCCCCAATATCACCACAGAACAGAAACCACGGTTTTGTACTGGGGCCTTGGGAAGCTGGGTGGAAGAAGCCACAATCACTAGAGAGAAGTGAGCACAAGAAGTTGGAATTAAAATTCATCCTAGATCTAAATTCCAAGGCACATGAATAAAATATAACACCAAGAAAGAGAGCCGACAAAATCACATAACATAACATGAATTCACTTCTAGAGAAAACGGTTTTATGAAACAATATAGACTTTTTAATGTGTGTTTAGGATATTATTAAAATGATAGATAAAGGAATAACTTCTATTAATGAAGAGCAAACAATTATACAAAAGGGAAGAAATTTTCAAGATAGACATAAAACATTAGAAACAAAAAGTATTATATAGTCATAAAAATGAAAAACCCAATAGATGGGACAAACTCCAGCCTGGGCGCAATCAGGAAAGAACTGGTAAGCTGGAAAATATTAAGGAACTTAAAGAACATAAAATAAACAGAGATGAAGAGTTTTTTTAAGGAAATATCAGTTAATAGATATGAAGGATAAGTGAGAGATTCCAAGATATATCCAACAGGCACTCCAGAAAAAAACAACAGAATATAGGAGAATCAATATTTACAAGTAAAATGGCTCTTTTATCTTCTGTAATTGAAGGAAAATAGGAGTCTACAGTTTGGAAGCACACTCAAGTACCATGCAAGATGAATATTAATTCACACCCAGACGCAGCAAAACCTCAAAAATAAACAATCCTAAAACTATCGCAGGGGAAAAAACATCCAAAGCAACAATAAGATTGACAGCAGATTTCTCTTCTGCAACAGCAGATGCCAGGGACAATGAAGGAATGGCATCAAAGTGTTAAGAAGAAATCGGCTAGGCACGGGATTACAGATCATGCCTGTAATCCCAGCACTTTGGGAGGTTGAGGCGGGTGGATCACCTGAGGTCAGGTGTTCAAAACCAGCCTGGCCAACATGGTGAAACCCTGTCTCTACTAAAAATACAAAAATTAGCCGGGTGTGGTGGCGCAATAAAAATCTAGAATTTTCTGTCTCCCTAAACTGTTGTTTAAGAGCAAGGCTGGGTGCAGTGGCTCATGCCTGTAATCCCAACAGTTTGGGAGGCCGAAGTGGTGGATCACATGAGGTCAGGAGTTTGAGACCAGCCTGTCCAACATGGAGAAACCCCGTCTCTACTAAAAACACAAAATTAGCTGGGTGTGGTGGCGCATGCCTGTAATCCCAGCTACTCAGGAGGCTGAGGCAGGAGAATCGCTTGAACCCGGGAGGTAGACATTGCGGTGAGCCGGGATCGCGCCATTGCACTCCAGTCTGGGCAATAAGAGTGAAATTCCGTCTCAAAAAAAAAATCAGCTGGATGTGGTGGCACGTGCCTATAATCTCAGCCACTCAGAAGACTGAGGTGGGAGAATGGAAGAATCACTTGAACTCGGGAGGCAGAGGTTGCAATGAGCTGAGATCACACCACCGCACTCCAGCCTGAGTGACAAAGTGAGACTCTGTCTCAAAAAAAAAAAAAAAAAAGAGCGAGAGAAAGAAAATAAAGACATATTCAGACTTCACAGACTCAAATAACAGTGATGCTAAAGTATTACATCAAGGAAATAAAAACCGAACCAAGAGGGAAAGTATGGACCATAGGAAACAACGGTGAGAATAAAAATTGAGAAACTATGGTGGTAAATTTACCATTGAGTAAAGGCAAACAAACAAGCAAAAACCAATGTGTCTGAGTTTACACAAGGGCAAAATTAAAACCTTCAGCAATAATAACACAGAAATGGGGAAGGGTGTTGAGTGGATATTTCAAGCACACTAAGATTCATGTGTGTTCAGGAGGAGGTGAGAAATGGGTATAACTTTAGACATCATTACAATAATGCACAGCAGGTATCTGTGTTATATAACTAATGGTAACTCCTAAAAACACAAAACTATGATACCCATATAGAACTATGCATGTTATAACATAGTATCCATACCAGCACACTGTTAGAAAACCAGTATTTTTCAATCCAAAAGAAAACAAGGGAGAATAAAGGGAGAGGGAGGAAGAAGGAATGGCAAACAGAAACCACAAAATCAGATAGTAATAAGTCTAAATAGATCAGTAATGATCATCTATATAATTGGATTAAATTCAACATACTAAATAATAATAGAGTGAATTTTAACAATCTAGCTATATACATCTTCTAAGAGTCACAACTAAAACACAACACATAGAAAGACTGAAAAGACAAAATGTACATACTAGGAAAATGCTAATCAAAATAAAGCCTGCAGCAGTAATATCAGACAAGAGCTACCTGTCTTTGTTTTTTGTTTTTTTGAGACAGGGTCTCGCTTTGTTGCCCAGGCTGGAGTACAGTGGTGTGATCTCAGGAGTAGCTGAGACCACAGGTGCACAGCATCATGCCTGGCTCATTTTTGTATTTTTGTAGAGATGGGGTTTCTCTATGTTGCCCAGGCTGGTCTTGAGCTCCAA
Organism: Homo sapiens; assembly: GCF_000001405.40. Taxonomy (NCBI): domain Eukaryota; kingdom Metazoa; phylum Chordata; class Mammalia; order Primates; family Hominidae; genus Homo; species Homo sapiens. The sequence continues at coordinate 158,849 of NW_025791797.1, read as the reverse complement.
GGTTCAAGCGATCCTCCTGCCTCCACCTCCTAAAGTGCTGGGATTTCAGATATGAGCCACTGTGCCTGACCTAAGAAATACCTTCCTAAGGCAAAGCATTAATAGGAATAGAGACTCAATGTAATAATAAAAGGAGCAATCCACCAAAATTTTTATAATAATGATATTGTTTCCACTATTAGTATAACCTCCAAAAAATATAAAGCAAAACTGAAATAGTGAAACTGATAAACCCACAATTACAGCAGGAGATTTAACACAACTCCATCAGAAAACTGACATATCAAACATGATAAAAAATTGAAAAAGATATTGATTATCTGAATGACCAAAATAATAACCTTGGTCAACTATTATGCACATATACCTATATCCCCCAGCCAATAAATTTAAAAAATGTATATTCCTTGCAAGTACAGATAGAACATTACAAAAACTGACCATATATTATGTTGCTGCAAAATATTATAAGTAGTGGCAAAAACCACAATTACTTTTGCACCAACCTAATACTACGTAACAAAGTCAATCAATACCATATAGAGCATGTTTATTAGGTTTTGGGGTTTTTTAACCATAATGCAATTAAGTTAGGAACCAACAATAAAAATAAGTATATCAGCACAAAATTTTAAAATTCTGTCCTAAATAACAGATTAAAAAGAAAACCCCAATAGAAATTACCAAAAAATTTAACAACAATAAAAATATTATACATCAAAATCTGTGGTATGCAGCTAAAGCTGTATTCAAAAATCATTGTATAACCTTAAATACATTTCAAAGAACACCTCAATTTAATGTTTCAAACTGACACCACGTCATTCAATCTAATTTCTGAAACATCTAATATCTCAGGTTGGAAAGTCTACCAACTGTGCCAATTTGCTAGAGATGCAAAGATCAGTCACTCTCACAGGCCCACTGGAAAGCAGAAACACAAACAGCAATCCACAATGAGATCAATACTATTCTGTAATAGAGATGCAGAACTTGCCATTAAAACCCAGATGGAAGGAAGCAATTATATAAATGAGAAGGTGCCAAGAAAGTTCCAGAACAAAGCCTAGTAGGATATATGGAGTTCACCAGGGAGATAAGAAGAAAAGTGGCATTTCTGTCAGAAAGAATAGTATAAGCAAAGAAATGGCTGATTAAAAAATAGAGAGTCCAAATAGATCAGTAATGATTATCTACACAATTGGATTACATTCAACATACTAAATAATACTAGAGTGGATTTTAAAAAATCCAGCTATATGCAGCTTCTAAGAGATGCACACAACATAACAGGAAACAGCATAATAATTCAGCAAGGGTAACAGAAGCTTAAATGAAAAGGAGCAGACAGGCATACACTCAGGGGCCAGACCATGGGGCTAAACTTAATTCTGGGGACAATGGAGACTTTTAGAAAGGTGAGTGATAAGAACAGATCTGAGTTTCAGAAAGATTAGTCAAGTGGGCCATGAGATAATGGACTGGAGAGGAACCAGAAGGTGGACAGGCAGATCGGTTAGGCGATGACAGGGGACACATAGTTTGAAGAGGTGGAGTGGGGAAAAATGCCAAAATTACATTCTAAAACCCTCTTAATTACCTTCTTCAGCTTCAAACACAAGCTACCCTCACTCACCTATTCAGCTTCCCCATCACAAATATCGCACCTGACCTTGGCTCACTAGACAGAAGTTGCAAATCAAAAATACAAATGGGTGGCTACTCAATGTGGCTCGTGTGTTCTTCCCCCAGTGGAAAAGAAGATTTATGCTGCAAATTAGACCTATCTCAGGTTGCCTTGGTGCTACAGTCAGAGATAAAATCCTTGTTCACCATCTACTTCTTGGCAGCTTTAATTTTGTCAATAACAGGAAAATGAAAACTATTTTCAAAGCCTACAACCGAGCAGTGACAAATTATAAAAGAAATTTATTTGGGAAACGTGAAGCTTTTGCATTTGGTGTTTTGTCTAGATGTGTTGGGTTTTTAATGGTGAATGTTAACACAGCCTTGGCTGCCTTCTCGTGCAAATATCTGTTTTCAAAGAAACCTTGGCGTCTCCATCTTCTTCCCTTTCATGAAGCAAGAAATTAAACAGCAAGAAAGCCGGAACCTAAGAGAAAATGTAAAAAAGCAAAATTTGTAACTTAGGATTTTAGAAAATGCTCCAGAATAGTATTTTCCAGTATGTGTGCCACAAAACACTAGCTCCATGGGATGTACCTAAGGGCCAGGCAAAGTAAAACAAACAAACAAACAAAAACAAAAACAGCTCTTGACTATATATATTTGGAAACACAGGGAAAACAAAATTAAGCAGATTTCTTTACTGAAACATTTTCAGAGGCTTTAAAATGGTAATGGAGGGCCGGGCACAGTGGCTCATGTCTGTAATCTCAGCACTTTGGAAGGCCACAGCAGGCAGATCACTTGAGGTCAGGAGTTTGAGACCAGCCTGGCCAACATGGTGAAACCCCATCTCTAGTAAAAATACAAAAATTAGCCAGGCATGGTGGTGCACACCTGTAATCCCAGCTACTCGGGAGGCTGAGGCACAAGAATCACTTGAACCCAGGAGGTGGAGGTGCGGTGAGTTGAAATCACACCACTGCACTCCAGCCTGGGTGACAGAGCAAGACTCCATCTCAAAAAAAATAAATAAAATAAAATGGTAATGGGCACTGTGGATTTCCAAAGGGGCACATATATGTAAGATGTGGCATTTCCTACAATTACTGGGCTGTGGACGTTGTCTAATAGGAAAATCTCCAAGGACTGGTGTTCTAAGGAACACATTTTGAGAAGCCCTGTGCCAAAAATGTCACCCTTTTGAAAGGTTCCTTTTTCTCCTTTCAACCAGTTGGCAGTCATGCTCTGTTGTTATCAGCTTGGAGAACATGGCAACACAATTTTAAGTATCAATAGTAAAGGTAATATGTAAGTTGTTAACATTAGGGAAAGACGAGTGAAGGGTATATGTGAACTCTCTGTACTAGTTTTGCAACTTCCTTTTCTGTAAGTCTAAAATTTTTTCAAATTTCCAAGTTTAAAGAGATCTTGAGGTCATCGGAGCAACCAAGACAGCCACAATCTGAGGGGCCAAAATCTGGAGGAAGGGAAATGCATTGAGGGGAGTGATACATCTACAGCTGACTGTTCTCTTTAGGAAATGTTCTGTCTTGCAACATAGGACATAAAGTCTGAGCAGAAAACACCAGCCTGGAACTTGCAGCAGTCTTACTAGGTTGTGTAAGAGAAAAATTGGAATACACTGTAACCAAGGAAACCAGGATATAAGAGGCCAAATTTCTGGGAAAAAGGGAAACATAAAGAAGCAAACCTGACAAGCTATGTTCAATTTCCTCTTGAGGCTTTTGACATTTCCTAAGCTGAATACACAAGGCAGATGATAAGAAACCAGCACAAAGAGGCTGCTAGAAGGCTAAATATCTAAGCAGGTATTTCTGCAGTATCACAGTGATCAAGAGACAGAAATTGGAGTCAGGACTCCCCAATAAGGAAAAACATCTGGGATTTTAATTCATCCCTGAATGCCTAAACCCTAGGAGTAAAAGCAAGCAAGGGGACATGCCCTCACAAAGCCTGGAATGCAAACTTGAATCATTTCAATCCACCTGTAGCAAGGTTACAAGCCTTTACCCTCATTATCCGCCAGAATAAAACTAGATAATCTCTGGAGGAAGATACATTACTCAGACCTGCTACAATTCTTCACACACAATATGTGCCATTCAAATAAAAATAATTTGGCATACCAGGATACTGAACCAACAATGGAAAACTAAGAAAAGAATTAGATGATCCAACAGGTAATCCCAGTATTGACATCAGAAATGATTTTTAATGTAACTATGATAAATATGTTGAATAAAATAAATGACAATGTAAAATTTTTATCAAAAATTGGAATACATAAAAAGAAAGCAAATGAAAATTACAGATGAAAATCCAATAACTAAAATTAAGAACCCAACAGAAGTGTTTAATAACAATTAGACGACAACTGAGAGAATATGTGAACTGGAAGTTCAGTCAGTAGAAAGTATCTAAATTGAAACATAAAGGGAAAGAAGATGAAAAACACAAAAAAGAGCACTATAAGCACATCAGACATGGTGAAAATACCTTAACACAAGTGTATTTTAGAGTTCAAAGAAATGAAAAGAAACAATATTTGAAGAGGAGATGGACAATAATTATTCAAAATAGAAAAAAGACACCAAGCTACAGATTGAAACTTCTCTATGAATACCAATCAGGATAAATATGAAGATAAACATACCTAGGCACATTATAGTCAAACTGCTGAAGACCAAAGACAAAGAGAAAGATACACATTGCATTCAAAGGAGCAACAAAAAGATTCTTAGCTGATGTTACAAGAGAAATCAAGGAGCTACAAAACAATGAAATCACATCTTTAAAATGCTGGCAGAAAATATCTACCAATCTTAGATTCTATTCCCTGTCAATGAATATATCCCTCATAAACAGGCAACATCAAAGAAATCTTCAGACAAAAGCATTGAGAGAATTTCTCACAACGGACAAACACCAAAAGAAACACTAAAGGGAGTTCTTTAAAAAATTATATATGTAGTGTGTATGTATTATATATATACACATTTATGTAATATATGTGAATTTATATATATAAATATATATAAATGGAAACACAGACACATATAATTTTTTATTATATATACACACACATATATAAATGGAAACAAATGGAAATAAGAAAATAGGGAAAGAAATGAAGAGCTCCAGAAAGATAAATCTAAATGAATATTCACAGCTTAAAATAAAAGTAATGTCTTGTGAGGTTTTAAATGTATGTAGAATTTCAAAAGCATAAAAATGATAGCACAAAAGCCACCACTAAGGGAGTTAAGTGAGACTCTTGTTGTATGGTCTATTCTATTGCTTGGAAGTGATACAGTACTAATTTAATGAAGACACCACCACATTAAAAAAAAGTGTGTTATAATTTCTAGTATTGCTTTTTAAATAATTATAAAATAATATATAACTAGCAAGCTACTAGAGTAGTAAAATGGAATAATTCTTTAAAGGGATTAATCCAAAAGAAGGCAAGAAAGGAGAAAGAAGCAAAGAATGAATGAGATAAATAGAAAACAAATAATAACATAGCAGATTTAAATGTAAAAATATCAATAATTACATTAAATGAAAATGGACTAAATATTCCAATTAAAAGACAAGAAGCATCAGCCAGCATTTAAAAAAAAAAAAAAAAGCTACACTATATCCTGCTAATAAGAGATGCACACTAAAGGTAATAACATGAAAGAAAAATAAACAGGTGCAAAAAGATACATCAGAAAAACACTAACACTGATTTCTGGAGGAGGAGGCAGAGCAAGATGGCTCAACAGAACCCTCCAGCAATCGTCCCCCCTGCAGGAACACCAAATAGAACAACTATCCACACAAGAAATCACCTTCATAAGAACCAAAAATCAGGTGAGCAATCACAGCACCTGATTTTAACTCTGTATCCAAGAAAGAGGCACTGAAGAGGATAGGAATGATAGTTTTGAATTGCCGACACTACTCCTCCTCCATCCCCCAGCAGTGCAGCATGGCATGGAGAGAGAATCTGTGCACTTGCGGGAGGAAGGGCAAAGTAATTTGGGGAATTTGCATTGGAACTCAGTGCTGCCCTGTCACAGTGGAAAGCAACACAGGCCTTTCCTAGTGTTTCCCACTGGCTTTGGCCAGTGCCCGTGGAGGGAGCACTTAGACTAGCCCTAGCCAAAGGGCAATCGTCCATCCCAGCAGTCAGAAACTGAGTTCTGGCTAGCCCCACCACTGTGGGATAAAGTGTTCTGGGGTCCTAAATAAACTTGAAAGGCAGTCTAGGCCACAAGGACTGCAATTCCTGGACAAATACTGGTGCTCTGCTGGGCCTACAGCCAGTGGAACTGGGGTGCATGCAACCCAGGAAACTTTATTAATAGAGAACTTTCCAGGGATACACCAGCTGGAGTGGCCAAGGGAGTGCTTGCATCACCCCTTCCCCAACTCCAGGCAATGCGGCTCACAGTTCTGTAAGAAGAGGGAAGTGTAAAGAGGACCTTGTCTTGCAATTTGGATACCAGCTCCGTCACAGTAAAATAAAGTACCAAGCAAAGTCCTAAAGACCCCATTTCAGGCCATAGCTTCCAGACAACATTTCTAGACCCATCCTGGTCCAGAAAAGAACTCTACCCTGAAGGAAAGGACCCAGTGTCACAGAATTCACTACCTGCTGACTAATGAGCCCTTGGGCCTTGAATAAACACCCCTGGGCCTTGAATAAACACCATCTGTAGCCAGGCAGCAGTCATCACAGGCCTTGGCAAGACCCAGTACTGTGCTGGTTTCATGTGTGACCCAGCACATTCTCAGCTATAGTATCCACAGGGAAAGGCTCCTGCTTGAAGAAAGGAAAGGGAAGTGTAAAAAGGATTTCATCTTGTGACTTGGGTACCAGCAGAGCCACAGTAAACTAAAGCACCAAGAGGATTTCTCATTTCCTCAGTTCCAGGCCTTAGCTCCTGGAGGGCATTCCTTAACCCACCCTGGGCCAGAAGGGAACCCACTGCATTGAAAGGAGAGACCCAGACCTGGCAGAACTCACCACCTGCTGAATAAAGACCCCTTGGGCCTTGAATAAACATCAGCAGTAGCCAAGCTATAGTTGCCATGGGCCTGAGGCAGTGATTGTCTGGGCAGAGACTCCTTCTGCTTGAGGAAAGGAGAGCAAAAAAGAGGTCTTTGTCTTGCAACTTGGGTAGCGGCTCAGCCACAGTACAGTAAAGCATCAAGCAGACTCCTGCAGCCCCCAGTTCCAGGCCCTAGCTCCTGAACTGCATTTCTAGATCCACCCTGGGCCAGAAGGAAATCCACTGCCCTGAAGGGAAAGATCCATTTCTGGCAGGAATCAACTTCTGCTGACTAAAGAGTCCTTGGCCCTTGAATAAACATCAGCAGAATTCAGGAAATAGTTGTAATACATCTTGGGCAAGACCCAGTACTGTTCTGGCTTCAGGTGTGACACAGCACAATCTCAGCAGTGATGGTCACAGGAGTGCTTGTATCACCCCTCCACTAACTCCAAGAAGCTCAGCATGGAGAGAGAGATTGCATTTGTTTGGAAGAAAGTAAGGGAAAAGAACAAGAGACTCTGCCTGGTAATCCAAGGAATTCTCCCAGATCTTACCCAAGACCACTGAGGCAGCACCTATACAAGACTGCAAGACTCAGAGTTACTGGGCTTAGGGCACTCCCTAATGCACATATAGCTGCAGTGACCAAAGACTTAGATCAAATGCTCAATTCCCTTTGAATACTTGGAAAGCCTTCAGAGGAATGATAGGTATAAACAAGCCCAGATTGTGAAGATTAGAATAAATACCTAACTCTTCAATGCCCAGACATGAATGAACATCCACAAGTATCAAGACCGTCCAGAAAAAACAAGACCTCACCAAATGAACTAAATAAGGTACCAGTGACCAATTCTAGAGTGATGGAGATATGTGACCTTTCAGACAAAGAATTCAAAAGAACTGTTTTGAAGAAGTTCAATGAAATCCAAGATAATACAGTGAAGGAATTCAGAATCCTATCAGATAAATTTAACAAAGAGATTAAAATCATTAAAAAGAACTAAGCATAAATTCTGGAGCTGAAAAATTCAACTGACAAACTGAAGAATGCATCAGTCTCTAAACAGAAGAACTGATCAAGCAGAGGAATGAATTAGCAAGCCTATTTGAAAATACACAGAGGAGACAAAAGGAAAAAGAATAATAAAGAATAGAGCAAACCTAACAAGATCTAGAAAATAGCTTCAAAAGGGCAAATCTAAGAGTTATTGACCTTAAAGAGGAGGTAGAGAATGAGATCAGCATAGAAAGGTTATTCACAGAGATAATAATAGAAAACTTTCCAAACCTGGAGAAAGATGTCAATATTCAAGTACAAAAAGGGTATAGAACACCAAGCAGATTTAATTTAAATAAGACTACTTCAAGACATTTAATAATCAAACTCCCAAAGGTAAAGAATACAGAAAGGATCCTAAAAGCAGCAAGATAAAAGAAAAAAATAGCATATAAAGAATCTCCATTATGTCTGGCAGCAGATTTCTCAGTAAAAACCTTTCAGACTGGAAGAAAGTGGCATGATACATTTAAAGAGCTGAAGGAAAAAGATTTTATCCTGGAATATTGTATCCTACAAAAATATCCTTCAAACATGAAGGAGAAATAAAGACTTTCCCAGACAAACGAAAGCTGAAGTATTTCATCAACATCAGACCTATGCTAATGGGAGCTTTTCACTCCCTAATACTCACCATGCTAATGGGAGTTTTTCAATCTGAAAGAAAAGAACATTAATGAGCAATAAGAAATTATCTGAAGGAACAAAATTCACTGGTAACAGTAAGTACATAGACAAATACAGACTATAATAACACTGTAATTGTGGTGTGTAAACTACTCATTAGCATTTCAATAAAGAAACATCAGACCTATTCTGCACTATAGACCAAATGGACCTCATAGATATTTACAGAACATTTCATCCAACAGCTGCAGAATACACATTCTTCTCCTCAGCAATCATTCTCAAGGATAAACCATATCAAGTGTCTTCTCTGACCACAATGGAATAAAACTAGAAATCAATAATAGAAACTCTAAAAACTATACGAACACATGAAAATTAAACAGTATGCTACTGAAGGACCAGTGGGTCAATGAAGAAATGAAGAAGGAAATTTTAAAATTCCTTGAAACAAATGAAAATGGAAATACAACATACGAAAACCTATGGGATACAGCAAAAGCAGTACTAACAGGAAAATTTATAGCAATAAGCCCCTACATCAAAAAAGTAGAAAAACTTCAAATAAATAACCTAATGATGCATCTAAAGAACTAGAAAAGCAAGAGCAAACCAAACCCAAAATTAGTAAAGAAAAAAAAATTAAAATCAGGCAGAAATAAATAAAATTGAAAAAGAAAAGGCAATATAAAAGGTCAACAAAACAAAAAGTTGGTTTTTTTGAAAAGACGAACAAAATTGACAAACCTTTAGCCAGACTAAGAAAAAGAGAGAAGACCCAAATAAATAAAATCAGGGATGAAGAAGGAGACATTAAAACCAATACCACAGAAATTCAAAGGATCATTAGAGACTACTATGAGCAACAATATGTCAATAAATTGGAAAACCTAGAAGAAACAGATAAATTCCTAGACACGTACAACCTACCAATATTAAACCATGAAGAAATCCAAAGTCTGAATAGGCTAATGACAAGTAACAAGATCAAACCTCTCATTTGATCTCGTTTGAAATACAAAGTCTTCTGGCAAAACAAGCCTGGGACATGATGGCTTCACTGCTGAATTCTACCAAACATTTAAAGAGGAACTAATACAAATCCTACTCAAATTATACTAAAAAATAGAGGAGGAGGGAAGACTTCCAAACCCATTCTATGAGGCCAGTATTACCCTGATACCTAAACCAGTCAAAGATACATCAAAAAACAAACAAACAAACAAAACAACAACAAAACTACGGGCCAATATATCTCATGAACATCAATGCAAAAATCCCCAACAAACTACTACCAAACTGAATTTGGCAACACAAGAAAAAGATTATTCATCATGACCAAGTAGGATTCAACCCAGGAATGCAAGAATGGTTCAATATATGCAAATCAATTAGTGTGATACATCATATCAACAGAATGAAGGACAAAAACCATATGATCATTTCAATTGATGCTGAAAAATCATTTGATAAAATTCAATGTCCCTTCATTATAAAAACCCTAAAAAAACTGGATATTGAAGGAACATATCTCCATACAATAAAAGCCATATACAACAGACCCACAGCTGGTATCATACTGAATGAGGAAAAAATGCAAGCCTGTCCTGTAAGATAAAGGACAAGACAAGGATGCCCACTTTCACCACTGTTATTCAACATAGTACTGGAGTAATCAGATGATAAAGAAAAAAAAGTAGCTAATCAGATGATAAAGAAAAAAAGGGATCTAAATTGGAAAGGAAAAAGTCAAATTATCCTTGTTTGCAAATAACATGATCTTATATTTGGAAAAATCTAAATACTCCATCAGAAAGGTATTAGAACCAATAAACAAATTCAATAAAGTTGTAGGATACAAAATCAACATACAAAAATCAGTAGAATGTCTATATGTCCACAAAAAACAATCTGAAAAAGAAATCAATAAAGTAAACACATTTACAATTGCTACAAATTACATAAAATACCTAAGAATTAACCCAAGAAGTTAAATATCTCTACAATGAAAACGATAAAGCATTGATGCAAAAAATTGAAGAGGACACCAGAAATAGAAAGATAGTTCATGTTCATGGATTGGAAGAATCAATATTGTTAAAATTTCATACCTACTAAAGCAACCTACAAACTCAATGCAACTTTTATCAAACTACCAATGACATTCTTCACAGAAATAGAGAAAATAATCCTAAAACTTATATGGAATCACAAAAGACCCAGAATAGCCAAAGCCATCCTGAGCAAAATGAATAAAACTGGAGTAATCACATTAACTGACTTCAAATTATACTACAGAGCTGTAGTAACCAAACAGCATGATACTGACATAAAAAACAGACACACAGACCAATGGAACAAAACAAAGAACCCAGGGATAAATCCATACATCTACAGTGAAATCCTTTTCAACAAAGGTGCCAAGAACCAATATATTGGGGAAAGGACAGTCTTTTCAATAAATGATGCTGAGAAAACTGGGTATCCATATGCAGAAGAGTGAAACTAGATCCCTATCTCTCACCATATACAAAAATCAAATCAAAATGGATTAAAGGCTTAAATCTAAGACCTCAAACCGTGAAACTACTATAAGAAAACATTGGGAGAACTCTCCAGGACACTGATTTTGGCAAAGATTTCTTGAGTAATACCCTAAAAGCACAGGCAACCAAAGCAAAAATGGACAGATGGGATCATATCAAGTTAAAAAGTTTCTGCATAGCAAAGGCTTTTCAACATCAACAAAGTCAAAAGACAACCCACAGAATGGGAGAAAATATTTACAAACTATCCATCTGACAAGGGATTAATAACCAGAATAAAAGGAGGTCAAATAACTCTATAGGAAAAAGAATCTAATAATAAAATTTAAAAATGAGCAAAAGATCTGAATAGACATTTCTCAAAAGAAGGCATACAAATGGCTAGCAGGTATATGAAAAGATGCTCAACATCACTGATGACCAGAGAAATGCAAATCAAAACTACAATGACATATCATCTTACCCCAGTTAAAATGGCTTTTATCCAAAAGATAGGCAATAACGAATGCTGGCAAGGAGAAAGGGGAACCCTCATACACCCTTGGTAAGGATGTACAACCACGATGGAGAACAGTTTGGAATTTCCTCAAAAAATAGAATTACCGTCTCTACTAAAAATACAAAAAATTAGCCGGGCGTGGTAGCGGGCGCCTGTAGTCCCAGCTACTCGGGAGGCTGAGGCAGGAGAATGGCGTGAACCCGGGAGGCGGAGCTTGCAGTGAGCCGAGATCGCGCCACTGCACTCCAGCCTGGGCGACAGAGCGAGACTCCGTCTCAAAAAAAAAAAAAAAAAAAAAAAAAAAAAAAAAAAAAAATAGAATTACCATATGATCCAGCCATCCCACTGCTAGGAAAGAAGACAGGAAATCAGTGTATCAAAGAGATATCTGCTGCCCATATTTATTGCAGCATTATTCACAATAGCCAAGATTTGGAATCAATCTAAGTGTCCATCAACAGATGAATGGATGGAGAAAATGTGGTACATATTCAGCCATAAAAAAGAATGAGATCCTGTCATTTGCAACAACACAGATGGAAGTGGAGGACATTATGTTAAGTGAAATAAGCCAGGCACAGAAAGACAAACATCAGATGTTCTCATTTGTGGGAACTAAAAATTTAAACAATTGAACTCATGAAGACAGAGAGTAGAACGATGGTCACCGGAGGCTGGGAAGGGTAGCAGGGGAGTAGAGGGAATCGGGATGGTTAATGGGCACAAAAATATAGTCAGATATAATGAATAAGAGATAATATTTGATATCACAACAGAGTGGCTACAGTCAGCAATAATTTGTTGTACATTTTAGAGTAACTGAGGAAGTACAATTAGAATGTTCATAACACAAAGAAATAAGTGCTTGAGGTGAGGAATACCCCATTTACCCTGACAATCATTACACATTGTAATAATCCTTACTTATTGTATGCCTGTATAAAAATATCTGATATATGCCATAAATACTTACGCCTCTATGTACCCATAGAAATTTTAAATTTAAAAAAAGAAAACACTAACATCAACAATAAAAACCTTTAGAATCTATACTAATATCCTACAAAATAGACTTTTATACAGAAAACATTATTACTAGAATAAAGAACATTTAAACAATTGTAAAAAGTCAATTTAAAAGAGACATAACAATCCTAAATCTTTAAGCACTTAGTAACACAGCCTCACGATGTATAAAGCATACTCTTATAAAACTAAAACTAGAAACAATTCCAAATATTTTTAAATATTTTAATACACCTTTCAGCAACTTATAAAACAAGCAGACGAAAACAATCAGTAGATTAACATGACTTGAACCATCATATGTAGAACACTGTAGCAAATAACTACAAAATAATGATTATTTTCAAGTAGACATGGAACATTTACCAAAATAGACCATATGCGGAATCACAAAGCACATTTCTAAAATTTCAAAGACCAAAATCATGCAGAGTAGGTTCTCTGACCATAAAAATTAATATAGAAATCAATATCTGAAAATGTTCCAATTATTTGGAAATTAAACAACACATGCATAAACAGCCTGAGTCAAAGATGAAGATTAGAGAATATTTTTAAATAAGGAATGCAAATATATAGATATAACCTAAGCTTACGAGATGCAGCTAAAGCTGTTGTTTGGGAATTTTATAGCTTTAAATCACCAGTTCTCAAATTCTCTGATTTCAGGTATCCTTTCTATTCTTAAAAATAATTTAAGACCCCTGCTTTACACCATACCTCAAAAATAATTCCTCACTGACCTTAAAATAATGTTTAAGGTAAAAATTTAAAGATTTTAGAATCTTATGATATCTACAAGATAACATAACCCTAGGATAGAAGATATCTCAACCAGACCCCAAAATACTAACTCTCAAGAAAAGGATTCATATGTTGTATTTCATTAAACCTAAGAGAAGACTGAGAAATATCAAGCCACAGAGTAGAAGATGTTTTCCACACATCTATCTGACAAAGAATCACATTCAAATATTAAAAAGAACTCTGATGAGTCATGAAGAAAAAGGCAAATAGATTCAATATTTTAAAAAACAGTCAAAGGAGCCTTGTATAGGCAATTTGACAAAAAGAAGATTTCTGCTATGGCTTGAATGTTTGCGTCCCCTCAAAATTCATAAATTGAAATTCTAACTGCCCAATGATACTATTAGGAGGTAGAGTCTTCAGAAGATGATAGGCCATGGAGGTATTATAGATCCCTCTGGAATGGAATTAGTGACCATATAAAAGAGACTTCAGAGAAAGCTCTCCCACTCTTCCACCATACAGGGACACAGCAAGAAGACTGCCATCTGTGAACCAGGAAGGCCCTTATCAGACACCAGATCTGGTAGTGCAGTGATTATGGACTTACCAGCCTCCAGAAGCATGAGAAATATTTGTTATTTAAACCATTTAGTCTATGGTATTTTTGTTGTGGCAGCCTGTAAGGACTAAGACAATAATCCAAATGGCCAATAAGCATAAGAAAATGTTTTCACCTAATTATAATCGTGGAAATACAAATTAACCACAATGAGATGCCACTACATTACTATCAGAATGGTCAAAATTACTTTAAAACAACAACAACAACACAAGTGTTTCCAAGGATTAATGGTGCAACTGGAACACTCATACAGTATTTGTAGGAGTATACATTGGTGCAACTATTTTATAAAACAGTTTGGCAGAATCTACTAAAGCTGAACATAAAAATAACCATACCCTATGACTCAGCAATTCTGCTGGTATCTACCCAGCAGAAATTCCTACATATGTGCACCAAAATCCATGTAAAAATAGTATTACTCATAATAACAAAAAACTAGAAACAAATGCCCATATTAATTAATAATTACATTGTGGCTATTTCTACAATACAACACTATATAGTATTATAATGAAAAAGAATTAACTGCTCCCATAATATGTAACAACATGGGTAAATTTCAGACATAACATTGAATGAAAGAAGCTCAATATATTTATGTCTAATTACATAAAGTTCAAAAAAGAGAACATACTGCATTATTCCATTCATACAATATTCAAAAACAGGAAAAGCTAATCTATGGTGATTGAAGCTGGTGTGGTAGTTACTTGTAAATTAAGGTTATAAGGGGTCCTCTTGGGTGCCACTAATGTTCTATATCTTGAACTGATCACATGAATGTGTCACTTTGTTAAAATACATCATACTGTACACTTGTGGTCTGTCACTTTCCTATATGTACATTTTATTTCAATTTTTAAAATATTAAACTACCCCTTCCATAAGCCCTGCATTCAATGTGTTTAATATTTACATTGATTGCATTTATCCTGATTTATTCTTCTAGAAGGAAGTTTAACAAGCAATGCTGGACCACTTCGTCCCTATCTGTTTGAATAGTAGAAATAATGTTCATGTCTGACAATCCGCATCTGGAAGTCTCTGTTTAGCAGAATCACAACAAAGCCATACAGAGTCTAATAACCTATACTCAAGAGAACAAAAATCCCAGGGGCTATTACATTGTGACTGTACTCCCTGCACGCTAAATGCTACTTCAAAATTTAATCATTATAGCAGCACGATAAAAAATTAATTAATCTCACTTCCAGGAAGTAAATCGATAAAACACATATAATAAATATTACAGAAATTGAATCAAGATGGCGGACCAAATACACACATCTTCTCTGTGTACCACATTCCTCTCTACATATATCTATATAGATATATCTATAGAGAGAGAGGCATATCCATAACATCTATAACAGGGCTGAAAAACAAGAAAGGGTGCCAGTGACAGATCATAAATGGTGAGAAATTCCTAGAAGACAGAGAGCAGATGGGATTAGAGAGCTGAGGATAAAGCCAACCAATATATGCATAGTAGAAAACTGCTCCCAAGATAAAAGTTGATACAGAGAAATTCCAAGTCTAAACAATGTAAAAATAAAAAGAACAGAGTGAGCCTGGGGAATCATCAGGGGACTTAATAAAATAACTGTATGGTGGAAAGCAATAAGGATCAACAGAGCCCCTCCACCCCCATCCCCACACGCCATCTCTATACCCAAAGGCAAATTCTTTAGTTAAAGCACCTTGATTGGAAATCTCTGCTCCACTGCAACTGTGAACTTCTCTGTGCTTCCAATTCCTTATCTACAAAATGTGGATTATAACAGTATCTGCCTTGTAAGTATTACTGTATGGAAAGTATTTAGAACAGTATCTGACACTGTTAAGTCTCATTAAATATTAGCCATTAATATTATCAACTAAGCAACAGGCAACTGGGGCATTTGTCCCCAGGCTGAAGACTGTACCCACACTCTAAAGAGAGTGGACTTTGCTGATGGCCCCAAAGTGGATGTGGAGATCTGAGAGAAGCTAGAGATCTTTCCCAACATTCCAACAGACAGAAGGGGCAACATGAAGAGGCAGCCCTGCCCAAGAGCAAAGCCCTGCATTCCAAGGTAAAACCCTTCTTTCCAGCCTCCCTGAGTCCCCCTTGGCCACTGACCCTAGCATAAAACTGATCACCACACCCACCCCTATACTCAGTCCTTCCAGTAGGGAGGGAAGACTGTGAGGTAAACAGACAAAAACCTACCCCAGCTACCTACAGTGATGGGTCTAGTCCTTCATTCTGATACACTGACAATCAGAAACCACAGAAATTTTAGGAAAACCAGGAGTGCGACAGGAAATGTCAAAGAGGAAACTTTAGAATGATCCAAAGGAAACAGAGATAATCAAAGTATAGAGGGGAACTTTTTAAAGTTTTCATTAATACCTAATAGGAAAATTTGAGACGATTTCATATGCACAAAACAAGAAAAGGCTACCATGAAAAATGAAAGGAGGAAAACTCAATAAAAAAGAGTGAGCACAGAATGGACAAAACTGAAATCAGAATTGCTTATTAAAAAGGCAGAGTTGGCTGGGCATGGTGGCTTACACCTGTAATCCCAGCACTTTGGGTGGATCACAAAGTCAGAAGTTCAAGACCAGCCTGACCAACATGGTGAAACCCTATCTCTACTAAAAATATAAAAATTAGCCGGGCATGGTGGCACATCCCTGTAATTTCAGCTACTCAGGAGGCTGAGACAGGAGAATCACTTGAACCCGAAGGCAGAGGTTGCAGTGAGCCAAGATTGTGCCACTGCACTCCAGCCTGGGCAACAGAGTAAGACTCTGTCTCAAAAAAAAAAAAAAAAGAAAAGAAAAGAAAAGAAAAAGAAAAAGGCAGAATCAAGGAAATGTCCCAGCACAAGAACATGAGACAGGAAACAGAAAAAGGTTTGGCCCCACCCAGTCTTGGCTGAGTGTGCCCAGGACCCCACACTTCCTGGATGCCCTGTCCACCATATCCAGAAAAAGTCTTGCTGTCCTCAGGCTCGGCTTTGGGCTTCCTGCAAATGATTGTAAGTGTGGACCCACTCTGGGAAAATGGGTTCCAACTAGAATAAATGTTCCCAATATGTACAGGGGCTGACCCCTCTGAGCTCTCACACATAGAAATTAGTAGCTGCGCAGTAACAGCCTGGTCTGGTAGGATTTACTTGTATTCACTTTTTGCATATCCTATCTTTTTTTCAGAAAGGATGTCTACGATTTGGCCCATGTGGCTTCCTACAGTTTGCATCATATCAGGCAGAACTTCTCCAAGTTGGGCAATGCCCTTCTCTAGTTTCCAGCACTGATGCCAGTTTTTATATATTTGTATTTTTTTGCCCATTTTCAATTACAGTTGACAGATGAGATTGATATCTTCCCCATATATCTCTAAAGTTTCCTAAAAAGCTTGTCAACATGTACCCAATGATCATGAATTGGAGGCCTCTATGAGTGTGACCTTTTAAAAAGTTTGATTCTGACTGGTATTTTGTTTTTGATTGATTTCATAGCAAAATGTGGTCTTTCAGAAGATTCTTTTTAGAACACCCTGAATGGTTAAGGCAGAACCTTTGAAAGTGAATTAATCATGAAGGCTGCTTTCTTTCTGGGACCCCGTGTTCCCAGATCTCAACAGTGTCTGGGGACCAGACTACAAACAGGTCCATGTAGGAACATGAAGTTTCATGGGGATTTGGGAGAGAGTTAATCTTTTCCTTTCTTCCTTTAGGGAGATTTATTCTGTTATGTACCTTTATCATTGACCTAGGCCTGATAAGGACAATGTCGAGTAGCTATTTAGATGAGTTTAAAAGATCAGATTGTATAATAGAATGACTGAATGGGTTCTGAGCCACATGAAATAATTTGGCTAGAAAAATTAATGTACGTCATTCTCCTCAAGCCATCCTGTCCAACCTAGGAAAGTTTAATCACCTTTAAAAGGACATAGAAGGTTGAAGCTGACAATGTTTTATTCTTAAAGTTCACCAATAAATATAGGTCTAAAGACTGTTCTGGCACAAATAATATACCTGAGTTTTTTTTTTAATGAATATGCAAGAACAGCTTGTTTTAAATAAAAAAACTGTATAATTAGGCTTTGATCTATGATAGTGTTTGCCTTTTTTTTACATAGATGGTATTTTTCAAAAACTAAAAAATACAAAATGTAAAATATTACCAAATTTTATTAAAACTTTGACTTCATTATAAGAATTAAGAAGTAAAGTTCCCTCCATTCCTGGGTTTAATCAGTCTGAGACAATTCTTTCCACCTTTTTCCTAAATTTACATATACAAACACATGTTTTTCTTTTACAAAAGTACAATGAGTTACACATACTTTTCTGCAACCATCCCCAGAGAAAAGACATTTGCATTCTGGTATTTGTTTAACAACAACAACAAAATTAGTGCCTTCTATGCATCAAGCTAAGTATGGTATTTGAGGGTCATTCTATTCCTTCCTCAATACTCTGGAAATATTGCAATTTCTGCTGCTTTCTGGCATTTAATGTTGCTGAGAACAAGTCTGAGGGGAACAGAAGTAGGTAACTATTTTTCTGAATGTTTTGTTTTTAGGACCTGGAGTTAATTTTTATTTTCTTAAATTTTATTCATTTTTCTTATAAAATATATTTTAAATTTCTTCTTTATGAAGTCAAGTGTTCTTTTCCCATTAAATTTGCTTGGTCTGTAGGGAGCCCCTGTGAATATCAGAATCAGGTCAATGGATCTGTGAACTTTTAAAAATACATAGACACAAAGGTTTCGAATCTTTCGGCCTAAGCCAACAAGAGGGAGGGAGAGAGGGAGAGAGGGAGAGAGAGGGGAAGACAGAGAGACACTGCTGCACTAGAAGTAACTCCACTCCTGTTTTGACCCATTTTCTGCTGCTATAACAGAATACCAGCAATTGGGTAATTTATAGAGAAAAGATATTTATTTAGCTCACAGTTTTGGAGGCCAGTAAGTCCAACAGCATGGCACCAGCATCTGGCAAGGGTAAATCCCATGGCAGAAAACAGAAGGGAGGAGGGAGCACATGAGATAGAGAGAAAATAGAGGCCAAACTCTCTCCATTCACGGGAGCAAGACCTCATGGCCTAATCACCTCCTAAAGGCCCACCTTTTAATACTGTTACAGTAGCAATTGAGCTTCCAACACAATCTATGGGAACATATTGAAACACAGCACCCCAAACATCAAGGCAGATCAAAGCCTGGTAAACCCTGGGACCAGAAGTGAGTCCCAAGTTAAGGAGATACTTCCCAAGAGGATCCTTAAAAAGTTAGTACCACCAGAAATAAAAACGTACATTGCATGAGTCAAGTAAATACTAACCAGAGGGAAGACAAATTGGCTCAGCAAGGAAATGGGACACCTGCGAATAAGTCAGCTCTGAACACCTGCCAGGGACCAGAGAGATCAAAGCCATACTGCAATCACCAAAGAAACAGAAACTTCCCTGCCCCACTTTCCCCTCCTTTCATCCTACACTCCAAACCCAGAGGGCAAGAAACTCTGGGGTAAGAGACTCAAAGGGAGCACACACCCTCCCTGTGGCAATGCCCTACCCGAGGCCAACCCTAGCTGGGGAGGGGGAGAAAATTAACATCAAGTCAGCATTCAACTTGTGATTATCACATAGAACTGGAAATGCTAATGACTGAACAGAAACTGTTATATGATTTAAAGCAGTAGTCTTTAAACTGGAAACACATGGATACTGAACATGGATAGTTTTAAATGACTGTATTTCCAGATCCTAAGCCTCTGTATATGCTCTTTCCTATTAACCGATTTGTCTTCAGAAGCTCCTATATGAACCCCTTCTGCCATTTTACAATAGAAAAGCACAGCCCTCACCCATCCCAAGTCTCTAGGTATTGTCCTGGGGTGTGAAAGCTCCGGTGCATCTTCAATCTCTCCCACTCACATCAACATTTACATGTACTCAAGCCTTTCATATTCTAGAATGTAACCTTCCATTATTTCCCCATATTCTACTCTGGCTACCACCCTTTCTAGTCCATACTCCTCAGAACTGCCTCTTAAGGTGTCATAGACATGGACTGTCCCCATTTTCTCACTTCCCATTCATTTCTCAACCTATGTAAGTCCAACACTGTTAGCTGGCCACTCAATAAACACTCTCCTCTTCCTCACTAACAGAACCCAAATTTTGCATACAGTGTCAATGGGCCCAGCCCAGGCAATGATCACTATGCCAGAACATTCCCTGCTTTCCCAGCATTCCTTGTGACTACAGGTAGTCATATGTCTCATTATGGGCAATGAGACCTAAGTAGTTAGCTGCAGGTGGGGATTTCTTGGAAATTACTGGTTTCCTGATTTGAAGATGCCACTCTTCCTCCCTTCTTCCTATCTTGAACATGAACATGTATGAGGCTGCATCAATCAGCTTGAGATTATAAGGAATAAGCTTCGAGAATTGCAAGAAGACCCTGATGATCATTAAGTTCTTGAACAAACACCAGCAGCCTCCCATCTCTGGACTTCATGCTAGATGAGAAAAATAAGCCTAGATCTGTAAGCCACTATGGTTAGGTTTTCTTTAACTTGCAGCCAAACTCATTCCTAACTGATACACCTTACAATCTGGCTCCATTAAAACTGCTGTCATTAATGACCATCCAATTCCTTCATACCCAGGATAAATTCAGGCTCCTAGCTTAGATGATCTGAGACATTCTAAATCTACTGTCCACTCCCACCTTGAAACCACCCCTTCCCTTGGCCTCTGCAGTCTAAATATCATCCCCTTCCTCCTTAGACACTTCTCAATTACCTTTATAATTTCTTTTTCTCAATTAGTGTTACAACCTTGGCCTTCTATCATGTTTGCCCTAAATAATCTCCTGGGATGATTTTGTCTATTACCATGAACTCGTTAATCACCTATTTTGCTACTGACTTGAAAATCCATAACTCCAACCCAAACTTCTCAAACTTCAATTTTTTCACATCCAATTGCCTTTTGGAAATTTTCTTTAGATATTCCAAAGATACCTCAAACACAATTTACAAACTCATCATTCTACTTATTTGCCTATCTTCCCTTCTCTCAATTAGTGGAATCACCACCCACACAGTTGATAGTCTGGAAACTAAAAGCTGTCCTAGACCTAAGAAAAATGTAATGGACTCTCAGAAGTATATATAGAATTCAGATGTTTTTAAAAACAGCCAATAAGTCAGCAACTTGTACATGCTGAAGTTTTCAGAAAAAAAGACAGATTCAATCAACACCTTCCAAATAAAAACCTTCAGAGCCACAAATGCTGCATAGAGTTCCCTAACATATATGTCTTCCATCTCTCTCATCTCTCTCTCTCTCTCTCATTCTGTCTCTCTCTCTCTCAGACACACACACACCACCCCAAGTGTTATCCACTCTACATCCCAAACATCTCTTGATTCCATTTTATTTTCTCCATTCCCATGAACATATCCTCAGTCCAGGCTACTGTCATCTCATCTCTGAACTGCTCTAACAGCCTCCTAACTGACTCCTCAAATTCTTCCTCCATACAACTGCCAATGAGTTATCCAAAACACCCGTTGAATAATGCTATTCCCCAAAGTGATTCAGTGATTCCATCACCTTTAAAATAAAATCCATACTCAACACAGTGTACCATCCTTCCACGATCTGCCTGCCACTTACCTCTCTCCAGCCTCATTCATTGCCCTCCTCATAAACACCTCACACTTCTCCATTCCTAAACTCTTGGTCACTCAGAATCACCCTGTTCCTTTCTGCCGTTTTATATGCTGTTCCCATTGCCTGGAAGTTTTTCCATATAGCTAACTCCTACACAGCCTTCAAAGGTCATTAGGACTCCTCAGACCTAGTTGGGTGCCCCTTCTGCAGATCTCCTGAATACATTAAAAGCTTACACAGCACTTAACCATTCTGCGCTGAAATTTATTGATGTGCTTCCCACAGTGGCCTATGAGATGCCTGGGGACAGGGTCTTATATTCATTACGGTCTTACTCATGAATATTACTCATTATGGTATCCTCAGCACTAGAATGGTGCACACAAAGTAGTAGGCCCTCTGACCAGCTACTGCTCAAGAAAATGAACTGAAGGATCCCTGAAATAATCTGTGGGCATGTTAAGGATTCTGTTTGAATTTCTAGTACTGACACTTTTCTCCAATAAAAGTCAAGGGAAATTGGATCTTGTAGGATAGCAAACATGATAATATTGTTTTGCTTGGGTATAGGTGTGGGTGGGGGGTTGTTACTATTTGCTGTCTTTCTTTGTGTTGGAAGGAAATAAATGTAATGTCTCTAACCATGTGATCTCCTGGCCTAGGTGCCTTCAGTAAAGTTTAAAAGGTAAAAAAGAATTTGTCATCATACAATTGCTAGATGGCAAATTAACAAATAATGGAAAAGATGAATCATGATGATTAACTGAAGAAAAGCCAACCTGTTGTTTTAGTAGTTTCAACATAAGAAAAAAAGCACAAAATTAATGACTGAAAATTTTGTCTAGATTGCCTTACAAGAATTATATGGGACATAATCCCAGAAAATTAAGGGGCAAAAATCCTCTTATTAAAAAAAAAAACAGTTGACCTGAGGAGGGGCCGGGGAGGTTCAAAATGACTGACTAGAGGTATCTGGCACTCACCACCTCCCCAAAAAAGAACCAAAATAGGAAATAGATAATCACATTTCAAATAGAACATCTAAAAGAAAACACTGGAATTTAGCAGAGAAGTGACAGGAAACACCTGAGGCACAGAAAGTAAGGGAAAGCAAGGCGGCCAGTTCAGCTGGCATCAGCTAGAAGCCTGGAGAGGTTCCCGGTGCAGGGAAAGGGTAAGAGATCCCAAGAAGTCCACATTCCCACCATTGACTCCTGTCATCTTAGCCATGGAAGAGCCTCTCTATCCTCCTGGGCCCTGAGACTAGCACAGGGAGCTGCCTAGAGATTGTGCAAAGGCCTTGCTCCAGAAAGAGAACTAACAGTGCTCTACACACTCCCCTGATACCTAAGCAACTGCAGAACAGCACCATTCTGAGTGCCTAACCTCAACCAGGGCATCCTGCCCTGGGATGCCATAGCCCCTGCATCTCGACATCCCTGAAGCACCACTAACAACCCCCTACACTGGAGGACTGCAGTAGCATGATGCTGGCTGGACCCAGCAGTGCAGCAGGGTCCCTAGCACTCTAGCCCACTCAAGAGTCCCACACCACAGGGAATGGGTGGTGTGGCACACCAGGGAAGCTGCTGCTGTGCTGCTGAAACAAGGGGAGCCAATGTGCATGTTCCCCAAAGCCTGACAGCTGTTTGCCTGCGTGGCCACTATGCACTAGCATGCACTCTGAGGACAGGCTCCCTGCCCACTGTCATCATTGCTGTTACTGCTGCTGCTAAGGACTAATGTGTACACTCCCAAGAGCCTGAAAGCTGCCCAAATGCCTAGGGTCACTCCCACTAACAGCCACCCCACCCCCGCCCCACCCACTGAGCAGCAGGGATGCTGCGCACTTATCTGCACCTTGGGGACAAGCTCTCCCCACCCACCACCACAGATTGTCCCACCACAGCCTGCACTCGTGCATACCATCAGAAGGTTAAGGACAGGACCACCTAGCCTGGCACAACCACCCCTGACTTGAGTGCCTGAGTACATCACCCAGGGGCCTGCGGATCACTCTACCCAGTCCACCACCACTGGTATCTTTGTACTCCTGGGGACCTGAGGAGGGGCCACCCAGCCCATCACAACCATCACTAACATCACTAACTGCCTGGAAGCCTAAGGGTTGTCCTGCCACTGGTACTACTATCTCCCATGCCACACACACTGCCCAGGGGCCCCAGGACCTGCCCACTCATCCAGCCCACTGCTGCCACTGCTGGAATCTGAGCAAGCCACCTGGAGGCCCAAGAATCAGCCTGCCTGGATCTGCTAACACTGGTGCCCATGTACACTGCCCAGCAGCCTAATGGCTGGCATAATTGGCCCACCACTGCCACCACTGGGCACAAAGGACTGGCCCACCTGCTGGGGCCAGCAAAGGCATCCCCAGCAAAGCATCACCACAGCATCCACTAACAACCACAGCCAGGCCACTGAGACAATCACAGACACCATGCTGTTCACAATCAAATAAATCATACCGAGACTACACCAATGCCTGCACCCAGAATCAAAGCTAAGGCACTATACCTAACCATCAACATAAACACATCTTCAGGAAAAAGTCTTCCCCCTCTAAAGCCAATCCAAAAAAATGGAAGAAGTGACTGTTACATCAGATGTGCAGATATCAACATAAAAACACAAGAAACATGAAAGAGCAAGGAAATATGACACCTCCAAAGGAACACAATAGTTTTCTAGCAACAGATTCCAATGAAATAGAAATTTTTTAAATATCAGAAAAAAATCAAAATAATGTTATTAAGGAAGCTCAGTAAGACACAACAGCACACAGATAAACAATACAAAGATACCAGAAAAACAATTCAGAATGTGAATGAGAAATTCACTAAAGAGACAGATATGAAAAAAAGAACAAAACAGAAATCCTGGAACTGAAGAATTCAATATATGAAATAAAAAATTTATTCAAGAGGTTCAACAATAGACTAGATTAAGCATACGAATTCCAGAACTTAAAGACAAATGTTTTGAAATAACCCAATCAGACAAAAAAGAAAAAGGAAAAAGGAATGAATAAGAATCAACAAAGCCTACATGACATATGGGATGCCATAAAGTGACCAAATATTCAAATTCTGGATGATCCAGAAAATGAAGAGAAAGACAAAGGCATAGAAAACGTATTCAACAAAATAACAGCTGAAAACTTCCCAAGTCTAGCAAGAGATTAAGACATCCAGATACAGGAATCTCAGAGATCCCCAAATAGATATGGATATAACCTAAAAAGGTCTTCTCTGTAGCATACTGTCAAAAGCCAAAGATAGACAGAGATTTCTAAAAACATCAAGAGAAAAGCATCTAGTCACATAAGGGAACTGCCCCCCATCAGACTAATAGCAGATTTCTAAGCAGAAAGATTACAAGCAAGGAGAGAATAAGCTTGAGGTTTATGTTCAAAGTGCTGAAAGAGAAAAAAGCTGACAGCCAAAAATACTATACCTAGCAAAGTTATCCTTCATAAAATAAGGAGAAATAAAGTCTTTTCCAGACAAGCAAAAACAAGATAATTCATCACCACTAGTCCAGCTCTGTAAGAAATGCTTAACGGAGCCCTAAATCTGGAAGTGAGAGTATGATATCTACCATCATGAAAACACACAAAAGAATAAAACTCACTGGTAGAGCAAACACCCAAATGAGGAAAAAAAAAGAGATTCAAATGTTACCACTACAGAAGACCTGCAAGTGGCAATGATAAACACTAAGAGAGAAAGAAAGGAACAAAGAACCACAAAACCAAATGACAATTAACAAAATTATGACAATAAGTCCTCGCATATCAATAATAACCTTGAAAGTAAACAGAGTAAATATTCCACTTAAAAAATATAGACTGGCTGAATTAAAAAACATTAGCCAACTATATGCCACCCATAAGAAACTCATTTCACCTGTAAAGACACATATAAACTAAAAGTAAAGGGATGGAAAAAGGTATTCTGCACAAACAGAAACCAAAAGTGAGCAGGAATGGCTATATTTATGTCAGATAAAACAGACTTTAAGTCAAAAACAGTAAAAGGAAACAAAGAACATCATTATATAATGATAAGGGGATCAATAAAGAAAATGAAATAATAAATCTAAATGTATGTGCACCAAAACCGAAGCACCCAGATATATAAAGCAAATATTATTATATCTAAAGGGAGAGTTAGACTCCAATACAATAATAGTGGAAGACTTTATCCCACTATCAACATTAGACAGATTATCTAGGCAAAAAATTAACAAAGAAACATTGGATTTAAACTACACTTTAGACCAAATGAACCTAACAGACATTTACAGAACATTTCATCCAATAGCTACATCCAAATTGGAAAAGAGGAAGTCAAACTGTTTCTCTTTACAGATGACAAAATCTTATATTTAGAAAAACCTAAAGACTACACCAAAAAACTCTAAGATCTGATAAATTCAGTACAGTTTCAGGCTACAAAATCAACCTGCAAAAATCAGTAGCATTTCTTTACGCCTATAATAAATAGCTGAAAAAGAAATCAAGAAGGCAATCCCATTTACAATAGTTACCAAAGAAATACCTAGGAATACATTTAACCAAGGAGGTGAAAGATCTCTACAAGGAAAATTACAAAACATTGATGAAAGAAATTGAAGAGGACACAAGCAAATGGAAAGACATCCTATGATCATGAGTTAGAAGAATTAATATGGTTTGGTTTTTTTTAAGTTCAGGGGTACATGTGCAGGTTTGTTATATGACAAACTCCTGTCACAGGGGTTTTTTGTACAGATTATTTCATCACCCAAGTATTAAGCCTAGTACCCATTAGTTATTTTTCCTGATCCTCTCCTTCCTTCAACCCTCCACCCTCTGGAAGGCCCAGTGTCTGCTGTTCCCCTCTAAGAGTCCATGTGTTCTCATCATTTAGCTCCCACTCATGAGTGGGAACATGCAGTTTTTGGTTTTTTGTTCCTGTGTTACTTTGTTAACGATAATGGCCTCCAGCTCCATTTATGCTCCTGCAAATGACATGATCTCACTCTTTTTTAAGGCTGCATTGTATTCCGTGGTATGTATGTACCACATTTTCTTTATTCAATCTAGCACTGATGGGCATTTAGGTTGATTCCATGCCTTTGCTATTGCAAATAGTGTTGCATTGAACATATGTGTGCATGTGTCTTTATGATAGAACAATTTATGTTTATCTGGATATACCCCAGTAATGGGATTGCTGGGCCAAATGGCAGCTCTATTTTTAGCTCTCTGAGGAATCACCACACTGCTTTCCACAATGATTGAACTAATTCCACCAACAGTATATAAGTGTTCCTTTTTCTCCTCAACCTCACCAGCATCTGTGATTTTTTTGACTTTTTAATAATAGCCAGGAAGAATTAGTACTGTTAAAATGAACATACTACCTAAAGCAATCTACATATTCAGTGCAATCCCTATTAAAATACCAATGACATTTTTTATAGAAATAGAAACATCAGTCATAAAATTCATATGGAACCAAAAAAGAGCCCAAATAGCCAATGCAATCCTGAGCAAAAATAACAAAGCTAGAAGCATCACACTACCTGATGTCAAAAAAATTACAGAACTATAGTAATCAAAGCATCACGGTATCAGCATATAAATAGTCACACAGACCAACAGAACACGAATAGAGAACCCAGAAATAAATCCACATATGTACAGCCAACTGATTTTTTACAGAGATGCCCAGAACATACATTGGGGAAAGGACACCCTCTTCAATAAATGATGCTCGGAAAACTCGGTATCCATATGCAGAAGAATGAAATTGGATCCCTATCTCTCACCATATCCCAAAATCAACTCAAAATAGATTTAAGACTTAAACATAAGACCCCAAACTATGAACTACCAGAAGAAAACTCAGGGGAAACACTCCAGGGCATTGTTCTAGGCAAACATTTTATGGCTAAGATCTCAGAAGCATGGGTAAGAAAAACAGAATTAAACAAATAGAACTATATTAAAGTAAAAAGTTTTTGCACATCAAAGGAAACAATCAACAGAATGAAGAGGCAACCTGTTGAATGGGAGAACATATTCACAAACTATTCATCTAACAAGAAACTAATATCCAGAATTTACAAAGAAACTCAACTCCACAGCAAAACACACACACACACACACACACACACACGCACAAAGAATCTCATTTAAAATAGCATATTGAATAGACATTTCTCAAAAGAAGATATACAAGTGGCTAAAAGATATATGAAAAAATGCTCACCATCACTAATCATCAGGGAAATGCAAATCAAAAACACAATAGAGATATCTTATCAAATTCGAATGGCTATCAACAAAAAGACAAAAAATAACAGACGCTAATAACATGAAAAAAAGAGAACTCTCATACACTGCTGGTGGGAATGTAAATTAATACAGCCATTATGGAAAACAGTATGGAGATTTCTCAAAAAACTAAAAATAGAACTACCATACAATCCAACAATCCCACTATTTGGTATTTATTCAAAGGAAAAGAAATCAGTATATCAAAGAGATACATGCACTCCCATGTTTACTGCAACACCATTAACAATGGCAAAGACACAGAATCATGTGTTCATCAACAAATAAATGGATAAAGAAAGTGTGGAATATATACACAATGGAATACTATTCAACCATAAAAAAGAATAAAATCCTGTTATTTGCAGCAACATGGTTGGAAATGGAGGTCATTATGTCAAGTAAAATAAGTCAGGCACAAAGAAAAACATCATATATTCTCACTCATATTTGGGAGCTAAAACAACTGATCTCATGGAGGCAGAACAGAATGACAGTTACTAGATGCTGGGAAGGGTGTGTTGCGGGGTGAGGGGATGAAGAAAGGTTAGCTAATGAGTGCAAACATACAGTTAGATAGAATAAGTTTTAATGTTCGATAACAGAGTAGGGTGACTATAATTAACAACAATGTATTGTATGTTTCAAAATAGCTAGAAGAGAATGACCTGAAATGTTCCCAACACATGGAAATGATAAATACAAAGGCGATAGATACCCTAAATACCCTGGCTTGACCATTACAGTATGCATGTAGCAAAATATTACATGTATTCCATAAACATGTACAAATGTTATGGATCAATAAAAATAATTTTAAGCAGTTGAACAGAAAGTTACATGTGAAAGGCATGGATCCATTTGATTTCACTTTGAAAATGAGAAGATGCATCCTTCATGACAACACAACTAAGAATACAGAATTTGGGTTAAAAGAAGAAAACAGCCAATAAGTCAGCAACTTGTATGTGCTGAAACTTTTAGGAGGAAAGGCTGATTCAACCAACACCTTGCAAATAAAAACTTGCAGGGCTGCAAGGCTCCACAGAGCTCCCTGCGTATAGTATCCACTGTCACCTTCTCTTACACCAACCATATTCACTTCCTAATACTGCAAGAAAAGCCAGACTTAAGCAAAACTTCCAAACAGGTGGAGAAGAAATCATCTGTATAGTATTACCAGTTCCTACTAACTTTCTTCACTTCCTCTGGGTTTTTGCTGTCTGTTTTTTTTTTTTTTTTTTTTAGATTGCTGAACACCAAATATGATCTTCCCCATTCACTCTTTTGGAGGATTTTGATGTTTGCAGAGGCAGTTGTTGCTTTTGCCAACAACACATTGTTTCCAGGGAGAAGAATCCTCACTGATTTCACACATTCATTTGTTTTTGGAGACCAGACCACTGGGAAATGAGAAGAAGGAAAGAAAGAAAGAAGAGAGAGAAGGAGGGAGGCAGGGGGAAAGGAAGACAGAGACAGAAAAAAAGAACAATAGTTTAGGCTATGTTGGATACATAAAATTAAGGTGGGATCTTCATCTAGAGATAAGGGCCAGAAATTTCCATGATTTCAGAAAAGCTCCCCAATCTCAGCCTCAGGGAGCCAAAAACTGCTAATGTGAACTAATTCCTAACTCAAAAGTTAAGGTGAGAAAGCCTCACTGCCCTCTGGGAAGGCTTGGGGATTTCCCCACCTCTGCCTGGAGGCCACATATAAGAAAAGTCAGTCTTGGGAAGCTTCCTGGGAGATGGCGTTCAGCCCCTTCTTGGTCTCTACTCCACACACCCTTCCCGGGCAGCCCACCCCGCACCACTTCCTAGGCAAACTCTCCCACAGAACTCTGCCCTTCCAAACTCTTCTGAGGGGCAGGTGTCTCTACAGTGCTCATTTGTTTCCACAGGGTCATTTTAGCTCAAGGTTAAAGGGCTAAAATCAAATGAGATGTCATTTGTATTGCAGCAAATAAATAGTAACAATGGAATATACTGTTGGTCTATTTTGAGATGCTGATAAGAAAAAAGAAAAGGTAGAAATAAATGTTATTCTTTTCCTTCTTGTGAAAACTTTCATGACTTTGCTCAACACTTTACAACTGTACTTCCTTCACAAGATATGTCCTTGAAACATCACATGTAAATCTATTTTTTATAATTGAAGACATTTTAAATTTACTTTAGAAACTGGCTTATTTAAAGGCACTATCAAAGAATACTTTGGTAAAATGAAAGGGTGTTAATGATCTATTTGTCATATATATTCAGATTTGGGTGTATCAGCTTTTCTTACAATGCTGACCATGTCTATGATTTAGGATGAAAGGTAATTATTTAAGTGTTTTTAAAAATAGGTTTTCAACTGAACTTGCTCTAGCCTACACAGACTTTTTCCTATAGTCACACAGTTTTAATAGGATATTTGGATCAGAAAAAGACCCTTCTGTGGTCTCAGAGCATGTTTTAAAGCCTGCATATATTTTGCCTCTTCTTTATCAACCTGAAATTATTGACTTAAGAAATTTAGTAATTTTGCTTTTCAAAAAGCAGCTATAATGACAAAGCAAGAAAAAGAAATTGTGATTAGTGGCTTAAACTCAATTCTAGAGTTAAATTAACGTAGTAACAGTATTGTGACCATGAGCATGGGAATGCCCAAGAAAGAGCCAACAGATTTGCCAAAATGTGGTCAGCAAAACCTGCCTCTTCCTTTATCAACAGTGCAGAGAAGAGAAGTGAAGAGGTACATAATCCCCACACCAGCACTTACGGAAGATGGAGTTTGAGGGAGACTATAAACAAACAATATTTTGGTATCTGGGTTTTAAACTCACATTATGGTTGTTCATTCCACTACAGTGCAAATAATACCAAAGATGAAAGTTTCAAG
This sequence comes from Homo sapiens, assembly GCF_000001405.40. Classification (NCBI taxonomy): domain Eukaryota; kingdom Metazoa; phylum Chordata; class Mammalia; order Primates; family Hominidae; genus Homo; species Homo sapiens. Next base: position 128,104 of record NW_025791797.1, on the reverse strand, counting down.
CAAATAATCTGCTTGAACGAAGTGATCTCCATTAGGATGAGCTCGCCTCTGCTGGCTCCTCTAACTTTGAAAATGTTGGTGTCCTCCAAGGTTTTCAACCCTTCCCTCAACTCTTCTCCCACATTCTCTCCTGGGAAACTGCATATACTCTCAAAGGATGTGCTTACCATCAAGCACCCAAATTGTTATCTTTAGCCCCAAATCTCACCCAAGAGTTCCAGACTCACGTTTCCAGCTGCCTCCTGGATGTCCCAATTCTGAACCCACTATTTCCCTCCCTTTCTCAGTGCCTGTTCCTCTCTGTGTCCTCTCCCCGACATAGCACCACTATTCCAGCAATAGGAAAAGTGGCGAGAATGAGACCTCAGATATTATGACCTCTAGCCTTGACCTCAAAAATGAATGCATATAAATCCAAAATTAATTCAGCTTGATTTTGGAAATTAATCAGACACAACACATAAGCAAACACTGCCCCAGAATCTCCTTTATTTGCCATTAATTCCCAACTGACCCACGGGCCACAGTTCCTAGAAGTAGCAACAAAATGAGCATTCCAATTTTCACATTGTTGTAGGAGGAGCTAATCTGAACGGTTTGCTGCTTAGACTCTGTGCTGGTTATTTGCCTATTGTCTCTCAGCCCCAACCTCCACTCAGTGATTCTACTCTGCAATCTACATTTCTCAGGCTTCCTTGCTGCTGGCTTCTGGTTATGTTGTGACAGTGGAAAGAAGGAGCTGGGAAGAAAGGACTGTGTTCCTGCTTTTAGCCTTGACGGTCATCCTTCCAGCAGCGGGTAAAGCAGGAGCGCTGTGGTATCTCCTGGGCCATTCCATTCCCAGCTCTCCCCTCCCCATCCTCAGCACCATCCAAGGTAGCTCCTTCTCTGAGCACCTAGATTTTATATTGCCACCTCTTCCCTTTTGTCACCCAGCACCTAAAGGTAGTGTCCATTTTTAATTTTTTCAAACTTTCAGACCCTGTATAGCCAGATCCCTGTATGAAATCCCTTCCATGTGAAATACTTAGCACGGTTCCTGTATCCTAACTGGACCCTGGCTAATGAAAGAAAATCTCCTTTGCTCTACGGTTTGTTTTCTTTTGTTAAAAAGTTGAGGTTTTGCTCACAAAATGTCACTTTCCATTGCAGATAGATCTACATTTGGTTACCAATTATTCTGCCATGGAGACTGCTTTTCAGACTGGAAAGGGAAGAATAAATATCAGTAAGAGGAAACACACCTCAGAAAGAGGCCAGCTGGACACGCAGGAATTCCAGGTGCATGATCCACTTCAGATTCTAAATTCAAATTTATACCGAGTATTTAACAGGTTAAGAGAAATACGGGCCTTTTTATTTTTTGCTTAATTTTTATTGCATATGTTTAAGATACACAACATAATGTTTTAATATACATATAGATAGTGAAATGATTACTACACTCAAGCCAATTAACATATCTGTCATCTCACATAGTTATCTGTGTTGTGGGGGTGGGTGGGAGAGGTAAGAGCATCTAAAATCTACCATCTTAGCAAATTTCCAGTATTCAATACAGTAAAGGCCTATTTTAAATGATTGTTTTTCCTCTCTAGGGACACAATACATTTTAAGACTCAACGAAGAAGACTCTTACTCCTGACACTTGTCCTTCCTTCAGCCCCTTCCTCAACAACCCAACAGCCCATGGAGCTCTGTCATCTCTGAAGCATGTAGCTCAGTCTGTACCCACTCCTCACCTCCACTGCAGCAACCTCAGTCTAATTCACCAGCACCTATCTCTTGGAAGACAGCTTTCTCCCACTTTTCCAAGGCATGATGCTGGGATAATTGAGTTTCAGCATAGAAAATGACGGAAATTACCTCTCACCACACGCAAATTACTAACAGGTGGATTACACCTTAGGGGAGACAGTTTTCCCTAAATCCCTCATGTTTCTGCAAGTCTTGAAGGCAGACACTCTGCTTTTTTTTGTTCTTTGCTATCTCTTCAAAGGATATTTGTATGGCAAACAGTCTTAGAAGATATAGTGTCTCTCCCCAAGGAAAATGACAGACTTGTTTACTGTCCAGTATATAAAGACAATTTCTCCCTCTGGGCAAAGGTCAGGCAAGCTTACAGCCCATTATAAAAGATTTGGGTTCCCTAGCCTCAGGGCTCCTCACCTCTAACACAGTTCACTCCAGGTGTACAAGTCACCTGACCCTCTACACATTTGCTCTGTAGGAATTTGGGCTCTGGGAACTGGCACAAGAAGATGCCGATACTCTGGCAAAGTCATTTGTCTCCGACCCTCTGACCCGGAGTCTTGTGTCTTCTGGCAACATTCGTGACACTAAGGCAGGCTAACTTGTTAGCTTGCAAGTAAGGCAAAATTTCAGACACTCCACAGTTCTTGACTTACAATACTAAATGTGAAAAACAAAACTATAAAGCTTTAGAAGATGAAATAAAGAGTAGCTTCATAATCTGGGATTGAAAAAGATGTCTAAAACAGCTACGTATAAACACTTACACGTATAGATACTTACCATATACGGAAAAGAAGGATAAACTTGACTACACTAAAATTAAGAACTTCCACTGACCAACAGATACCAGTAAGAGAGTGGAAGAGGAAGTCCTAGCCAGAGCAATTAGACAAGAGAAAGAAATAAAAGGAATCCAAATAGGAAAAGAAGTGAAAGTATTTCTCTTCACTGATGACATGATTCTATACCTAGAAAACCCTAGAGACTCCACCAAAAGGCTCCTAGAACTGATAAGCAACTTCAGTAAAGTTTCAGAATACAAAATCAATGCGCAAAAATCAGTAGCATTTCTATACTCCAATAACATTCAAGCTGAGAGCCAAATCAAGAATGCAATCCTGTTTACAACAGCCACACAAAAAATTACCTACGAATGCATCTAACCAAGGAAGTGAAATATGTCTACGAGGAGAAGTACAAAACGCTGCTGAAAGAAATCATAGATGATACAAACAAATGGAAAAACATTCCATGCTCATGGATTGGAAGAATCAATATCGTTCAAATGTCCAAACTGCCCAAAGCAATCTAAAGATTCAACACCATCCTTATCAAACTAGCAACATCATTTTTCACAGATCTAGAGAAAACTATTCTAAAGTTCATATGGAATCTAAAAAGTGCCCAAATAGCCAAAGCAATCACCAGCAAAAAGAACAAAGCTGGAGGCATCATATTACCCGACTTCAAACAGTACTATAAGGCTACAGTAACTAAAACATCATGGTGCTGGTACAAAAACAGGTATGTAGACCAATGGAACAGAACAGACAACCCAGAAATAAAGCTGCACACCTACAGGGATAGCTGGCTAGCCACATGCAGAAGAATTAAACTGGACCACCACCTTCCACCATATACAAAAATTAACTCAAGATGGATTAAAGATTTAAATATAAAACCTCAAACTATAAGAATTCTAGAAGAAAACCCAGGAAACACCATTCTGGACATCAGCCTTAGGAAAGAATTTATGACTAAGTCCTCAAAAGCAGTGGCAACAAAAACAAAAACTTGAGCAGTGGGACCTAATTAAACTAAAGAGCTTCTGCACAGCAAAAGAAACTATCAACAGAGTCAACAGACACTCCACAGAATGGGAGAAAATATTTGCAAACTATGCATCCAACAAAGGTCTAATATCCAGAATTTACAAGGAACTTAAACAATTGCACAAGCAAAAAACAAATAACCCCATTGAAAAATGAGCAAAATAAATGAATAAACACTTTTCAAAAGAAGACATACAAGCAACCAAAAACATGCAAAAAAAATGCTCCACATCTCTAATCATCAGAGAAATGCAAATCAAAACCACAATGAGATACCATCTCACACCAGTCAGAAAGACTATTATTAAAAAGTCAAAAAACAACAGATAATGGTGAGGCTGTGGAGAAAAGAGAACACTTATGCACTGTTAGTGGGAATGCAAATTAGTTCGACTGCTGTGGAAAGCAGTTTGGAGATTTCTCAAAGAACTTAAAACGAAACTACCATTCAACCCAGCAATCCCATTACTGGGCATATACCCAAAGGAAAATAAATCATTCTACCAAAAGGACACATGCACATGTATGTTCATTCGTAGCACTATTCACAATAGCAAAGATAGGTTCACATCGACAGTGGACTGGATAAAGAAAATGTGGTACTTGCACACCATGGAATACTATGCAGCCATAAAAAGAATGAAATAATGTCCTTTGCAGCAACACAGATGCAGCTAGAGGCCATTATCTTAAGCAAGTTAACACAGGAACAGAAAACCAAATACTGCATGTTCTCACTTATAAGTGGGAGCTAAACACTGGGTACTCGTGGACACAAAGATGGCAACAATAGACAATGGGGACTACTAGAAGGGGGAGGGAGAACTGGAGGTGAGGGGTGAAAAACTGACTTTTGAGTAATATGCTCAGTACCTGGGTGACATGATTAACTGTACCCCAAACCTCAGCGTCATGCAATATACACATATAAAAAACCTGCACATGTACCCCCTGAATCTAAATTAAAGGTTAAAATTATTTTTAAAAGAAGAGAGAGAGATCTGCAAAATAAATAATTTTGACATAAAACCGACAAGGGCTTATATCCAGAATGAATATATATTCTACAAATCAATAAGAAGACTGAAAAAGAGAAAAATGGACAAAATAGTTGGGCAGACCTTTCACAACAAGGGAAATCCAAATGACCAATAAATATACGAAAAGGTTCTCAACCTCAATCAAAATGAGGGAAACACAAATTAAAATGAAACTCATGGCCAGGCATGGTGGCTCACGCCTGTAATTCCAGCACTTTGGGAGGGTGAGGCAGGTGGATTACCTGAGGTCAGGAGTTCAAGACCAGCCTGGCCAACATGGTGAAATCCCATCTCTACTAAAAAATACAAAAATTAGCCAGGCATGGTAGTGGAGGCCTGTAATCCCAGCTACTCGGGTGGCTGAGACAGAAGAACTGCTTGAACCTGGGAGATGGAGTTTGCAGTGAGCAGAGATTATGCCACTGCACTCCAGACTGGGCGACAGAGCCAGACTCCATCTCAAAAAAAAAAAAAAAAAGAAAAGAAAAGAAAAAGAAAAGAAAGAAAGTCACATGGAAAACAATGTGTCATCATCTAGCAGTGAACACCAGATGACACATCAATTCTATTTTTAGATACAAGTCTTCTAGGAGACATGTATAAGTATGTTCATAGCAGCAATATTTGTAATAGCCAAAAACTGAAAAGACCCCAGAAGTCTACCAACAGGAAAATAGCTCAAAAAAGTATGGTATAGTTATACAATGGTATTCTATACTGCCATAAAAATGAACTACAGTCATACAGAACAACATGGATGTATCTTTAAAAAAAAAAATGTTGACTGAAAGAGTCAAACACAAAAGATACGATATGGCCCTAATTTTAGAAGTTCAAAAATAGGCAAAATTCAATTCACAGTATTTAGGAATGCCTCCTGATACAGTTTGGATATTTGTCCCCACCCAAATCTCATGTTCAATTGTAATCCCCAATGCTGCAAATGGGGCCTGGTGGGAGGTGTTTGATCATGAGGCACACCCCTCATGACTTGGTGCTGTCTTGGTCATAGTGAGTTTTCATGAGATCTGGTCATTTAAAAGTGTATGGCACCTTCCCCCACCCTTGTTCTGCTTTGCCATGTGACGTGCCTGCTGCTCCTTCGCCTTCCACTGTGATTGTTATCTTCCCGAAGCCTCCCTAGAACCCAAGCAAATGCCAGCACCATGCTTCCTGTACAGCCTGCAGAACCATGAGCCAATTAAATCTCTTTTCTTATAAATTACCCAGTCTCAGGTATTTCTTTATAGCAATGCAAGAATGGCCTAATACACCTACTTAGGTTGTAAAACTATAGATAAAAGCAATAAGTGATTGCCACAAAACATACTATAGTCGTTATTTTGCTGGGAAAGAGGAGTATGTAACTATAAAAGGGTACATGGGAGCTTCTGGGATGCTAGCAATGTCCTAGTTCTTGTCCTTGATGGGGTAACATTAGTGTTCACTTTATAAAAATCCAACAGTCAGTACACTTATGTTTTATGTTCACAGAAAAAGAGAGACTCAAGAAAGGCATGCTCATCATGAAATTGAGCCTTGCCAGTAATCCAGAAGCCCCCCATGTATCCCTCCCCCCTCCTCTCATAGCCTATTACTACACTGACTTTAATCCCCTAAGTGTACATCACTAAATACTATGATTTATCTTGGTCTGTTTTTTATTTTTCCAGGAATGAAACCAACTGAATATTTGCATTAGAGTCTGAAAACTGTTCTAGATAAATCAATTTATTACTGTGATGTATATGTTTCTTTCAACATAACGATATTTTTACAGTGAATTAAACAAGTCCAGCAGAAACAAAGATAATGTTCCATAACTTCACGAGTGTGTGTGAAAACACATTGAGAACATCAATTTAAAATCAGCAAAACGTTATCCATGACATTAACTCAGTGATGTTAATTTGAATTTTATTAGGTTTGTAATTTTATTTGCATTTAATTTGAAATGTTTGGAGTTTATAGTTGTCTTAAAGCTATAAGCATAAATTAACACTTAGTTTTATGTTTATACAGATTTAAGTAGCAATATAATAAAACTAAATTTAAGTCAATACACCAAAAAAGTCCCTTATGGAGAGGGGTCCTTAATTCACACAGGTTTGAGAAACCTGCCTAGGCATCAGCTCCCATTCCCTTCCCCTCCCCCCCCACCTGCATGGGCTCCCTTTACCCCAGGACAAAATATCTTGCTACATAAATCCAGGCACTGTCAAGCAAAGCACTTCCCAAAGCATCCATGACATCTCTGTGAGGTGATGTCAAGCACTCGACCTGCTAGTTCTGCAATTCATTCCGATTCCATTTGTCATACATGTGATCAAAGCTGGAGAACAAAATAAGACACAGGCAATTAAGCAAAGTGTGAACACCGCTGATTTGAGCCAGAGGACAATTCTTTGAAATGCTAATGACAATAATCCAGAACTCATGCCTTGGCCTCACTCTCACTTATGAACTCGGGCATAGAATCCACTCACCCAGTAGATTTGCTTCCTCTGGCTGCTATAAAAAATTACCAAAAACTTAGTAGCAAAACAATACAGACTTATTTTCTCACAGCTCTAGAGGTCAGAAGTCTAAAATCAGTCTTCCAGGGCTAAAATCAAGGGGCTGGCAGGGTTGGTTCCTTCTGGAGGCTCTAGGAGAGAGGATCCGTGTCCTTGCCTTTTCTAGCTTCTAGAGGTCATGTGCATTCCTTGGACCCTGATCTCTCCTTCACATCACTCCAATCTCTTGCTTCCATCCTCGCATTGCCTTCTCATATAAGTTATCACTCACAGGTCCTAGGGATTAGGACATGGACATCTTGGCGGTGAGGGGAATTTCCCAGCCTGACACGCCCAACAAGCAGAAGTCTGACCTATGACAGCTGCGAATAAGAGGAACCCACTTCTCCTTTGCTTAAATGTCAAGGGGTCAAAAGGTGCTCACAAACACCTGCCTCAAATGCAGTTTCTGTGTGAATGGATCCTAAACTGCCAAGCACTACCATTTATGCCTATAGATAGAGAAACACAACTTTTTTGCAATCATATCATCCTTTTAAACTGGGTAAGAATTCAAAGAATTTGCTTTTGCTTTTCAAAAAAACTTATTTTGAAATAATGTCTGGTTTACAGAGAAGTTGCAAGCATATGACAAAGAATTCCCCAATGCTACAAAGAATGCTCCAATAGACTTCGCCAGATTCCCTCAATTTTATCTCATTTATTTTATCAATTTTCTCTGTCTCTCTTTTGCTCCCTCCAACCCACCCTTTCCACCCTCTCTCTCTCTCTCCCTCCACTAAATCATTTTGAGAACAAATTGTGGATATGATGCCCCTTTTTCCCATAAACATTTCATTGTGTATTTCCAGTGCAACTTAGCTTCTAAGTGGGTTTGGAAAACAGAGGGCTGAATTGCCAGTGGGAAAAGTTTTTCAAGGGAGATGTTCTTCTTTAGGTCTGGAAATCCAAAGGAGACAAGTCCTTGTTCTGGAAAGTGGGGAGTGTCACATCTCATTATATTGCAAAAAATTATTTTTCACATAATATTATGCCAAACTCTAGGCACTGAGATTTTTGCCCTTGAGCCACTGATGAGCAAGTACTTATAATACACAATCTCTACCCATCCACTACAGGGAAGCTCAGTGAAACTAGCTACTGAACAGCACAGATGGAAAGAACAAAGCATGGAAAAAATCCTCATGGACTAGTTGTTTCTCCTTGTCTTTTCTATGTCCTAACCTAAAGTGAATTGAAACTCACTCTAGGATAAGAGCTATGCCATAGCTATCAGTGTTCTGCAATTTGTGTATATCCCATAAGCATTCATTTATGATGATTAGTCATTTATGATGATCATCCATTTACGATCCTTATTCATTTATGATTTTCTGCTCAGGTTGCTCTTGGGTTAGATGAAAAAATTCCATTCAGCAAAGATTTATTGAGCACCTACCATGCCCTGGGTAGAGTGGGAAGTAGAAATGAATGGAGGGTCATGATTTAGTGGGAGAGACAGATGCATCAACCACAAAGAGCAAAGCAGCATGAAGTACAGTCTGCGGTGGAGCATGAGGGAAGTGTTCTCAGTGGTAGAAAAGACTTTCTAAAGGAAGGAGGGCAGGGATGATGCCTTGAAGCAGCATTTGGGAAGTCTAGGAGAGGGTCAAGGGTTTTCCCAGATGAAAGAGAAGCCTGAGCCGAGGCACCACAGGATGCAGATGTCCAGCACGTCTAGGGACAGAGGGTGACACATCCAGTGTGGCTCAACAGTGGAGGGTTTGAGTGGAGTTGGGGCCTGAAAAGGAGGTGGAATAAGATCATGAAACCTCTTGACACCATGCCTTATCTTTCCATGGCCTTTATTCTGTAGCTACAGTTGAACTTTCAGAAAACAAATTTCCTTTTCATAGCCAAGTAATTAACATCCCACAAGTTAAATGCTCAAAACCTTGACCTCGTTCTAGCTCGATTAAAAAACTTCTCAAAGACCCTTCCAATCCCACGCCTCTCAGCTCCATGCTGTGATTAATGCATCACTAGTGGAAGGTAGGGCGGGAAAGTCATTGCAAATACACACAGCGGAAAAATACAGATTCACAGCAGGAAAAGTACAACTTTTGTGCAAAGCTGACCCAGACCATCTCATTATGCAGTCGTTGAAACCTGTCTGAAAAGGAGTATGTGGATTTGTCATGAGACCTATGTAAATATATTTCCAAAAGATTATTTTCAAATGGCTCTAAAGTTTAGAAGGAAAAAGAAAGAGATAACCTTTTTAAAATGTGGGAAGCAGGAACAATATTGCTGGCAGCTTATTCATCTAGTTAATGAGTACTCTAAGGGGTCCATGCAGAATAGCACCTCATCCGGAGGAAGCTGATAGGGAGAGGGAGGGAGGGAGGTGGCAGCCAGGCAAAGGTGGGGAAAACAGAGCGCTGACTACATTGAGAGTCTTGGAGGGGATGGAGGAGTAGGGAGGCCAGGGAGGCAGGGACGGGGAGGAAGGAAGAGAGAAGGAGGAGGGTGGAGGTTAGGGAGCGATGATGCTGCCCTACCACCACTCTGGCGCCTTTTGTTTGGCTCCCTTACAGGGGCAGACACAAAGAGGACCTTTCCAATTCTAATGTGCAGGAAAGCCCAATCTGAGAACCAGGAGTAGCTTTTCTGACACCAGGAGCAAAGAAAGCAGCGCGCTTCCAGGCTGTGACTGCCGCACAAAAGCAAATTCTTTGGGAATACCACAGGCACTTAAGAGACTTCTCACCCTAGGAGTAGTTTCGAAATGAAAACTACCCAGACCTTGCAGCAGCCAAGAATTAAACTGATATTAAATAAACGTGGAGTTGTTAAGGCAAATGAAAAGAGTATTAAGCACATTTTTGTCTTAATTGACTTAAACATCTTACACTATCAAGGAGCAAAATGGCAATGCATCTGTGTTACAGAAAAGCGATCTCACCCTCAGTCCCACCAAGACCTTGGCAATAAGAGTTCCAGAAGAATTAAAAAGTCACCCATTAATGGATAGAAGCAGGGATGGGGTCAAGTCTCCTTAAATAGCAGGTGGCATTTATCCCCCTTGAGAGGACCTGTCAAGGCCCCCCTTACCTTCTGAGGTGAGCTAGGTCTGAAGACCCTTGTCAATGCGAAACTCCCACTGCAGTGAGTTTATAGTGCTGACATGGTGCAAAAACTCATGGAGAGTGACTGTCCATCCAAGGCCTGGCTCCTTTTAGGTCCAGTATTGTTCCAAGTGTCAAACTCCCCTCTTACCCGGTATCCTGAAAGCTTGTGCAGCACTAAGTCCTGATACCATCCTAGCCCTGTCCAGGGTGGGGATGGTAGCAGGAAATGCCCAGGAAGCATGGTAAATGTCAAGGGTGTGGCTTCCTGGGAGCCAAGATGTACTGGGTGAGGGAACCAGCAGGTGCGCGGTACACTGGGAGAGAGAAAAGAGAGAAAATTGGAAATGTGATCCTGGAGACAAAGCAGCTGACTGAGATGCTGTAGAGCCCAAGAGAAATAGGAGTTTCTAGACTTTTAGATTTCATAAGCAGTAAATACCCGTAGTAGTAGTAATAGTGATTATTATTATTACCGTATACAAAGTGTTTTCAACTTTTTTCATTTCCCCAGGAAAGGACACAACCTTTTGAACTATTGCTGCTGTTTTCATTTTAAAAAGGAACTTTTAATACTAAAATTATAGGAAGAACATAATATCTGACGTCACGTAAATTCAGATTTGAAGGAAATTTACTTTTTTTCCTTATTTGTTCTTATTTTTTCTCATTTTGTTAAGAACCAGCGAACACTTTGAAGAAAGCCAAAAGTTTACATCTGGAGCTGGAGGGTTCTGTGACTGCACACCAGGCACTCTGCCAGCCCTACTTCTGCCTGTAGTCCTGCAGGTCACTTGCCAGAGGTGGTACTTTCTGCAAAGGGAAAAGCCTAAGGCACCATCATGGGGGTCCCAGGACCTACAGCATTCCTTTATTTAATCCGTTCTTCCGATTGGCCAACTTTCTTTTTTTTATTATTATTATACTTTAAGTTCTAGGGTACATGTGCACAACGTGCAGCTTTGTTACATATGTATACATGTGCCATGTTGGTGTGCTGCAACCATTAACTTGTCATTTACATTAGGTATATCTCCTAATGCTATCCCGCCCCCCTCTCCCCACCCCACAACAGACCCTGGTGTGTGATGTTCCCCACCCTGTGTCCAAGTGTTCTCATTGTTCAATTCCCACCTATGAGTGAGAACATCTGAGTGGCCAGCTTTCTTTTGGGAAAGCCCGAATGCCATACCCCTGCTTGGCGGTGGATATGCTCTAAGCAGTCCTTTGCAAACCCAGAGAAAGGATTAACTGATTGCCTTCCTTTTTCCACTTTGGCTGCCAGGAAGCTCAACATCAAATCTGAGGATCCACATAGCTGCTTCATGGACCCTTTTACATGTATATTGACACATAAATACACTCACACATGCCTCTACAAGCTTTGACTTTTCCATAAAATATTTATATTTTCTCTGATCATGATTTATGACTGTTATTTACATTGTATTTTTAATTTTTTGCAAGCTGCTTCAAATCTTATGTGGGACAAGGGAATAAATAACAACTTTTTAAAATTAGGACTATAGAATTTTGCTAAAGCAATTCATTGACAGGCAATGTCTGTGGCAAACACAATGTCTTTACATAATAAACAAACTGCAAAGCAAAAATTATTTAGGCCACTAGGTTAGACATTAGATTCCAAACTTATATAAGCAAAGCTAATTTTTCCCCCGAAATATGTAATATAGTGGGCCATCAGCTTAATTTAAAATTCACACAGCTTCCAAACAATAAGAGGCACTTTTCTCTTCCATGAACAAAGACGTTTTATTCATACATGAATAAAGCAAAGATTCTTTCTATTGTATCTACATGAAGCAATCCTGCATTTCTATACAAAATGAGGTATTTTGCACCAGGCAGAGCTATATTACAGAGTTGCTGTGCATTCTGGATGAAGTTGTCTGATGATGGCACAAGCATTGAATAACAAAAAGTACTTTGTATCAGCAAAAAAAAAAAAGAATCCTTAAGCCTTCCATGACACTCTCTTCTGTTTTTCCCTCAGCACAAGGCATTGATGGGTGAACACATACATTAATATATTCGCTTCGAATCTAGCACTGGGCATGCTCCCTAAAGGATGGCAAAAGTGTGTGGGCCCAAAGTGAAAGGACTAAATCAAAGAAATGAACTCCACACCAAACATATTTGCGCAGTGTTTTGGTTTAATTTTTCCAAGGGTATAATTTAAAATAGGCTTTGTGAAACTGGTGGGGGTGAGGGCAGGATTCTCTTCAAGGTGATTGTAAACTCTTTCAAGGCAGTAACCGGGTAATTTATACTTATTCTACAGTTAAATTCCTGAATTATTCATATTTCTGAATAATTAGGGAGGCGTCATAAAAATAGCATACTCTTTAAAGATCTTTGCCCTCTTCCTTTCTCCAGAAGTTTAAATCATCTTCTTAAAAGGGTAAATACAGTTCTTGTATCAGGAACCAGTACTGACCAACCTGGTAAATTTAACAGAAACCAGCATTTATCACACCAATAAAACTGGATTTGACATATGAAGTCTTAACCTGAAAACGAAGTTCTTCCTTTCTCCCACTATTGAGCAATAAATTACCGAGAAGTTCTGGTCTACTAAATAGTTAGGAAGAAGTGAGGTTGCAGAAAATATAAACCAGTTTAAAGCCAGAAAGCCACAGCAACCATTTAGAAGCAAACACGAACTTACGAGCTTCCTTCATCATAGTAGTCCTTGTCTATCCCCAGCCTCCGGTCCTCTCCAAAGTTGGTGGGACATCCAAGAACGCGCTCCCCAGATTCTGCCCTCACTCCGTGAGATGAGGCAGGGCATGCCTGCCCATTCCTCCCCTCCACGGCAGGTCAGCCTTCATTCCCCATCTTCTTTATCCAGGACAAGGCTTGACCAAAATGGCCTGTTCCAAAGGCAATTCCCCTGCTCTCACTTTTCTGTCCCATCACTTTCTCAAGAAAAATATGTATTTTTTAAATGTGTAGTTTCTTAATGCACGCTAAAATGCCCGATGTAGGTAAAAACATTCATTCCATAAGCCTTACCAATTGCTCAATGCACAGTAAGATCCTAGGTGAGGAGCGTTACAATCGCCTCTAATCAGTCTCCCTGCTTCTACCCCGGCCCCTCTAAAATCTATTCTCAAAGGAGCAACCAGAATGATCTTTTAAAAATGTAAGCCCAGCAGTGGCTCACGCCTGTAATCCGAGCCCTTTGGGAGGCTGAAGCAAGCGGATCACGAGGTCAGGAGATCAAGACCATCCTGGCCAACATGATGGTGGCCAACCAGATGGTGAAACCCCATCTCTACTAAAAATACAAATATTAAGTGGGTGTGGTGGCACCTGCCTGTAATCCCAGCTACTTGGGAGGCTGAGGCACGAGAATCGCTTGAACCCAGAAGGCAGAGGTTGCAGTGAGCTGAGATCGTGCCACTGCACTCCAGCCTGGCAACAGAGCGAGACTCCATCTCAAAAGAAAAAAAAAAGTAAGCCCATCTTGTCCCTACAATATTCCAGAACTCTGCAATGGCTCCTCTCTTCACTCAGTGTCAGTCTTTACACTAAGGCCCCATACAAACATCTGTCCCCTACTCTATCCCTCCCTAACCAACCTTGACTCCCTCACTCACTGCACTCCAGCCACACCCCTCCATGATCCTCGAACACCTCCAGCGTGTTTCTAAGGCCTTTGCACAGGCTTTCCCCTCTGCCAAGCATGCTTTTCCAGCAGATATCTACATAGCCGGCGTCCTTACCTCCAAGTCTTCGTTTAAATGTCCCCCTCTCAATGAGACCTATGGTGACCACGGTATTTAAAATTGTGCCTGGGCTGGGCACGGTGGCTCAAGCCTGTAATCCCAGCACTTTGGGAGGCTGAGGCAAGCAGATCACGAGGTCAGGAGATCGAGACCATCCTAGCCAACATGGTGAAACCCCGTCTCTACTAAAAATACAAAAATTAGCTGGGCGTGGTGGTGCGCACCTGTAGTCCCAGCTACTCCGGAGGCTGAGGCAGGAGAATCCCTTGAACCCGGGAGGTGGAGGTTGCAGTGAGCCAAGATCGCACCACTGCACTCCAGCCTGGTGACAGAGCAAGACTCCGTCTCAATCAATCAATAAATAAAATAAAGTAAAATAAAATAAAATTCTGCCTGGATCCCATATCCCACCTCTAGAACCCTTGATCCATTTTCTTTTTCTCCAAAGTAGTTACCGTATAATATACTCATTTTGAGCTTACCATATGATATACATGGATTTTGCTCATAGATATATTCCAAGCACCTAGAAATGTGTCTGGTACACAGTGGGTGGGCACTGAATAAATATTTTTTCAATAAATAAATGAATGAGGCCAGGCGCGGTGGCTCACTCCTGTAATCCCAGCACTTTTGGAAGCCAGGGCAGGCAGATCACCTGAGGTCAGGAGTTCAAGACCAGCCTGGCCAACATGGTGAAACCCCATCTCTACTAAAACTACAAAAATTAGCCAGGCGTGGTGACATGCACCTGTAATCCCAGCTACTCGGGAGGCAGAGGCAGGAGAATCACTTGAACCCAGGAGGCAGGGTTGCAGTGAGCTGAGATCATGCCACTTCACTCTAGCCTGGGCGACAGAGCGAGACTCTCTCTCAAAAAAAAAATAATAATAATAATAAAGGAATGAATACCTGGAAGATCCAAGATGAATCACTAAAAAAGTAATTAAAACCAACAAAAGATATCAGTAAAGATCATTCATTAAAAAGAAGTGTACACAGGCCGGGCACGGTGGCTCACGCCTGTAATCCCAACACTTTGGGAGGTCGAGGTGGGCGGATCACAAGGTCAGGAGATCGAGACCATCCTGGTTAACACGGTGAAACCCTGTCTCTACTAAAAAAATACAAAAAAATTAGCCAGGCATGGTGGTGGGCGCCTGTAGTCCCAGCTACTTGGGAGGCTGAGGCAGGAGAATGGCATGAACCCGGGAGGCAGAGCTTGCAGTGAGCGGAGATCGTGCCACTGCACTCCAGCCTGGGTGACAGAGCAAGACTCCGTCTCAAAAAAAAAAGCGTACACAAAAACAGGGTTTCAAACCTCAGTAACAACCAATCAGGAAATTTTTTTTTTTTTTAGCAAAAGAGAATGATTTCTATAAACAAAACCTGTTACGGTAAACAGATGGGGCAGAGCTGCGATGCTCCCCAGCCTTCAGCCACTCCTTGGGAGCCTTTATCGCTGAAGGAGTGGAGGTTTGAAAACCTATGCATCAGAAAACGCATAGGAGAAAAGGGCCAATTCACACCAGAAACAAAAAATTTTAAAAACTTAGAATAAGAATTTGCCAGACCTCTATTGAAATGAAACCTACAAAATTTTTCTGAGGGACATAAAAAGATTCAAAAGTAAATGGCAAGACATGCCACATTCCTAAGTGGGAACACTAATTTCTAACAAGTCACAGACAAATCTACAACACAGCCAAAAATAATTATGTTAATATTAAAGGGATCCTAAAGCTCATCTAGAAAACAAAAATGTAAAAAATGTCAGGACAATGCCGAAAAACAAGAGTAACGTGCAGGAGCAGGCCCTATCAGATGTGTCCCGCAGAGCACAACAACTACAAGTAGGTGTCAGAAAGTGCCAGAATCAACAGAATGAGCAATTAACAAAAGAGAAAGCTCAGAAATACAGCCAATATATAGGATCCCACTTCATAATACGGGTAGCATTTACAGTAGGAAGAGGTCAGATTATTCTGTAAATTTGCTAACCGTATTCATCACATTCAGGGAAAAAAAATGTTATAACCAAAGCTTTAAAAAAATTTCAGATGAATGGTTTAAATATTTTTAAATGAAAACATAAAAATAAAACCACCACATGTAGGTGAATATTTGTGTAATCTCAGAGTAGGGATGCCTTTCTAAACAGGATTTCAAAAGTCAGGAACTATAATGGCAAAGACTAATAAAATCAACTACGAAAAAAACCTACATGTTAAAAAACAAATATGGGAAAAGATTAATAAACCCTATTACAGTAAAATAATTTCTTTTATCAAAAGACATCATTAGGCTTTAGAGAGTGAAAAGATAAACTACAGAGTAAGAGAAGATATTTGTATAGCATATAACAACAAAGGGCTAGTGTCCAGAATATGTAAAGAACTGCTACAAATAAATAAAGACAACTAATTTCTTAAAAATGGATAAAATACTTGAACAAGCATGTCACTAAAAAGGAAATTCAGGCCGGACGCAGTGGCTCATGCCTGTAATCCCAGCACTTCAGGAGGCCAAGGCAGGCAGATCACCTGAGGTCAGGAGTTCGTGACCAGCCTCGCCAACATTTAGTGAAACCATGTCTCCACTAAAAAATACAAAAATTAGCTGAGTGTGGTGGCACACACCTGTAATCTCAGCTACTTGGGAAGCTGAGGCGGAGAATCGCTTGAACTTAGGAGGTAGAGGTTGCAGTGAGCCGAGATCGCATCACTGCACCCCAGCCTGGATGAGAGAGTGAGACTCCATCTCTCAAAAAAAAAAAAAAAAAAAAGGAAATTCAAGTAGTCAATCAATAAATGAAAGAGTGCACAACCTCTTGACTCCCAGGGAATGCAAAATTAAAATCCCAATGAGATATCACTTACATACTCACCAGATGGGCAAAAATCAGAAAGACCAATAATACCACGGATTGGCAAGGATGTAAAATAATGGGAACTTTCACGTCCTGCAGATTGGAGTATAATCTGGCATTATTTGATGAGGTTTGGCCATTATCTAGTAATGTTAAAGAAAAAGTGAAGATGCCGATGTCCTTTAGCCAGCGAGTGCACTACAAGGTCAACTTAGAGAAGCCTGTGGAATGTGCACCAGGAAACATGCCCATAATATTCACTGCAGCAGTTTTCATAATAGTCTCAAACCCAGGACAACACCGATGACCACGAACAGGAGAACAGATACGTATGTAAGTGGTGTATTCATACAATGAATCTCTAGATTGCAAATAAAATGAGCGCTGGCTATATGCAACTATAGGGATATGCCTAATATCGAGATAAGACCCAATTTTAAAATACATGTATAAAATAGGTAAAAATATGCAAACCTAAACTATCTTGTTTAGAGATGCATACATATTGGTGGTAAAATTGTAATGATAAAGAAGGAAATTATTATTATAAAAGTCAGAATAGTTATGTTAGTTGTCTATTACTCTGCTAAAAAATTACCCCCAAACTCAGCAGCTTAAAACAGCTCACATGGCTGTTATCTCACGCAGTTTCTGAGAGTCAGGAATCCAGGAGCAGCTTAGGTGGGTGATTCTGGCCCAGGATTTCTCATGAGCCTGCAGTTAAGCTGTGGGCCAGGGCTGCAGTCATCTGAAAGGCAGAGGATCTGCCTCCCAGCTCACCCACATGGTTGTTGGCAGGCCTCAGTTCTCTAAGGGCTTTTGGAAGGAGGGCCTCAGTTCCTGGATACCGGGGCCTCTCCACAGGGCTGCCTGAGTGTCGTCAAGACATGGCAACTGGCTTCCCCCAGAGTGATTCATCCATGAGAGAGTGAGCAAGCCCAAGATGGGAGCCACAGTCTTTTATAACCCAATCTGGAATACAACATCGCACTGTTTCTGTATATTCTATTGGTCGCACTGGCCCACCTTGGAACAATCCTGGGTGGGTATGAAGACCAGAAGGAGAGAATCACTGGGGGCCATCTGTGAAGCTGGCTACCACAATTGTGGCTTCTTCTAGAAAGTTGGGCATAGATTGTATCAGGAAGGAACACACAGGGAACTTCTGGGAAACTGGCAAGATTCCATTGCTTCAACTGGTGGTTGTACAGTTGTTAACTTCATAATCATTTGATAAGCTGTACATTTATATTCTATGCACTGTTCCAAGGTATGTCAGATTCCACAATAAAAACGTAAAAAGAAAAACCTATTTAAATTTCAAATGACTAACAGGAAAATTATTTGCAGCAATTCGACAATCATATGTAAAATGTATAAAGAGTTCTTAGAAACCAGTAAAAGACAAACACCACAATGGAAATAAACAGTGATTCATAAAAGAATTAAAAGGTGGATAAGAATGTAACATTTCATCTCACAATTAAAGAAATGACAATTAAAATAGTGATTTTAAAATACTATATTCAGCCTAGTGTTAATAAAGACATGGGGAAATGCGCCTTTTCTTACACTATTTGAGGGAGAAATTATCTGGAACATAACTTGGCGATGCATAACAAAAGTCCTTAAAATATCCAGTGCTGACTCAGCAACTTTATTTCAGGATTACTTTTTTTCCCTAGGAAATTGCCAAAGACAGTAGCACAGAATCACTAATTATACATTGTTCTAGTTGGGAACACAAATGTGAAATCAAGTTTCCAGGACTGGAATCCCAGCTGCAATACTTATTTTTCACTTTAGGTATATTATTTTGTGCCTCAGTTCCCTCATCTGTAAAACTGGGGGAGAACAAAATACCTACCCCGTAAGGTTGTTGAGGCTTAGGTGAAATAATGCATATAAACATCTTAAACTCATAATCTGAGACAGCAAACACTCAATAAATTTCACTTATTGTTATTAGTGAAAACTGGTAACAACTTAAATATCTAACAATTAGAAAACTTTAAATAAATTGTAGTTTTTCCATATTATACAACTTCTAAAAATTATGATGTGGATCCATATTCTCATAGAAAAATCATCACAATATATTAAGTGAGAAAAGCAGGTTAGAAGCCAGTACATTTCATTTTTGCATTTTTATGAACATATGTAAATGTAATAATATTGGGTATATATCCAATATTAAGAGTAACAATATAGGGTAATGAGATGTGGATAACAGTTTTGCTGGTGGTTTTTTGTATTTTATAATGTTTTTTTCTTTTTTTGTATTTTATAATGTTTCATCAATGAACATAAGTGATGTATGAAATACATGATTTATTTAAAAACAATCCAAAATAATGAACAGAAAAATCAAGAGGTGTGAAATAAATACAGTGGACTTTCATTATTAAAAGTAATTATGTTCTATTAAAAGCCACTACAAACACTCAATTAATGAATACTGAACCATTGCTCCTAAAGGAAATAGAAGTTAGGTTCTTTCAAGCCTCTGGTCACATAAGCCTCTGGTATATATATTGGGAGCTCATCCAAATTCATAAGAAAAAAACTAATACTCCAAAGGATGGCTAGGCCAAGGGTGTGAACAAGTCATAACAGGAGAAACACAATTAGCAAATAAACCCATGAGAAAACCTTGAGCCCCCAGCCTGGGCAACATAGTGAAACCCCCTCAACAAAATATATGTATTTTTTAATTAGCCAGGCAAGGTGGAGCATGCCTGTACTCCTAGCTACTCAGGAGGCTGAGGGAGGAGGATCCCTTGAGCCCCAGAAGGTCGAGGCTACAGTGAGCCATGATGGCACACTGCACTCCAACCCAGGTGATAGACTGAGACTTTGCCTCAATACAAAACAAAAACCCCAGGCCCATTCATTTATTCATATCCATCCATTTATTCATTCACACAGGCATATATAAGGTACCTCCAAAAGTCACAGATACAAGGCATTACATCCTATTCCTGGGTAATTTGGGAGACACATGCTGAATCCAGGAAGTATGCACACGTGGGTGTGGAGGCCTCGGCCTCTCCTGTCTCCTACTGTGGGTGGGATACCTCCACTCACCATTACACCAAACATGGCAGTGGTTACTCACTTGCCCTGGGGCACCCAAGGAAGGTGCTGCTGATGGTGATCACCAACTCGGCAAACCCTTAGGCTCTGGGATGCTGATCCGCTGTCCATTTCCACACACTGATGAGGGGAATGCATCCCACCCAGGTGAAGGTCATTCCTAAAAAGTCTGTAGACCCTTGGGTAAAGGCTATAATTTAGACACATAGTTGTCACTTGATCTAAAGACACACCACTTCTTCTAAGAACTTGAAACTATTCTTCTGATTAAAACTTTATATTATTCCTAGAGTGAAGCTTAGTCTTGGTTATACCTGTCTGAATGTGAAATAGCTGCAATTAACATTATTTATAAAACACCTATTTTTCTAATGGGTTATTAGGTTCCCTTCCTTTCCTGCAAACTGTGTCTAAAAAGAAGCCAGTAAGTCTTTTTTTTCTTTTCTTTTTTTTGAGACGGAATCTCACTCTGTCGCCCAGGCTGGAGTGCGGTGGCATGATGTCAGCTCACTGCAACCTCAGCTTCCCGGGTTCAAGCAATTCTCCTGCCACAGCCTCCAAGTAGCTGGGATTACAGGTGTGGGCCTCTACACCTGGCTAATTTTTGTATTTTTAGTAGAAACAGGGTTTCACCATGTTGGCCAGGCTAGTCATGAACTCCTGACCTCAGGTGATCTGCCTGCCTAGGCCTCCCAAAGTGCTGGGATTACAGGCGTGAGCCACTGCACCCAGCCAGAAGCCAGTAAATCTTAAAGGCAAGAAGGGTTTTCTCATGTGTAGGACGAGTAACTGAGATCTTGCACCCAAACACGAAATTGAATAAATTGACCTTTCAGTGTCTGTTCCTCTTGCGATGCCAATAATCTCACTCTGAATTCCACCTCTAACCTTCCCAAGAATATTAAACAGGATCATGATTAGCAAAGGGAATTTTTTTTAAATATATAAGTCAGGAAGAGAAAAATGTTAGCACAGAAAGTACTTTTATGATGTACTAATCATGAATCTAAAATTAAAGTTCAGCTTATGTATGAAATATGGCATAACTTGAGTCGCTTAAGTTTCATAAAATGTAAAAATACAGTTTTTCCAGACAATAATTACAAATTTAATCCATTTACTTTCATAAATGTTATAAAGTTGTTAATTATGCTATAAACAGTGTAACAAGCTGTTGGCCTTCAAAGAATTGCAGAGTTCTTGCTTATTTCTGATAAGCATACAACTTTGGAACACTAAAAACGTCAGGTGAAAACAATTTAAAAATATAATATTTTCTGGTCTAAAGGTCATTAAAAGCATAAGCCAATTCCAAAAAGTACTAAGTTTCAGGGATACACAGAGGACAAGAAATATTCCAAAATCCATGATTATAACTCTTTTCAAAGGGCCTTCGTAGCCCCTGTCTTCTAGAAAGCAGAGCCCGAGACAAGGATTAAAGTGACAATTTATTGTGCGAGTTACTAGCCCAGGTAAGAGTGAGGAAAGAGAGCAAGGCCAAGAAAGAGTCCAAGGATTGTGGGATAAAGGGTGTAACTGCACCAGCCACCTTCAAAACACTCCAGGCCACTAGGCAACCATGTCCATCAGCACACCGGACTTTCTCACAAAGAGCTGCAAGAAGAAACTGCACCTCAGAGTAGTCCCTGGAAGGGAGAAAGGAAGGGAAATTGATCTGCCCAGTGCCATCCTATCCTCTCCCATTGGTTGAGGTTCACCATAGGAGCCAAAGACCCAACACTTCCGGGTTTCACCCTCCAGCCCTTGGACAGCCACTCGAGAAGCCAGGTTCTAGGCCCCCAATGCAGCATCTCACCCAAGACCAATAGTGGAGAGAGATATGGCACTTGATAGGGCTCAGCATGTGGGGCCTGAAGGCCACATTGGTCCAGGGCTTCATTGATGAACTCCAGCCTGCTCTGTGAACTCCAGCAAAAGTGTGGTCCGGGAAGAGGGGCTCAAAAGGAGGCAGCAACAAAACACACACCTAAAAATGCCTGCAAAGCTTATTACTATCAATATATCTTATTACTATCATTATATCCAATACAGAAGCATTGACACCAGGGATTTATTTCCTTATCTCAAATTTCCAAGTAGTTCGCCCAATCAAGGACAGCACAATAACCACCTCAGGTCAGCTGTGGTTACCCCATAAAATACTGGGAACCACAATAAAGTCAAGCTCCATGTTACTGACTGGAGATTAGGGCCTGGACTCAGAATGTGAGTGCACCTTCCAGAATGATTCCATCTGAGCTGGCATTTGTTCAGCCCCTCATTATCATCAAATAGCTGCCACATCAGCAGTCAACAGGACTTCCCGACCCTCTCCCTTTCAGATGATCTTCTCCAGTGTCATGTGTCCATTTTTCAGCAGACTGGTACCTTTTCCTGAAATAATGCAGCTTTTAAATATCAGGGAGTTGCGAGGCTCTTGGGTTCTAGTGTCATCTTCCAGGATTTTATTCAGATCTCCTCATTCTGTGGCCAGGCCCTACTGTGTAATTGTTGTGTATTTGTTTGTTCTAAGGTCCTGTGTACTGATAGGATTTTATATACTTTACTCAGGTTGCAGTGACACTAGTTAAAACACTAATAATCATTTACTCAGGTTTACAGTTGGCACAATTCTCGGTATTTACCATTCAGTGGTCATTTCATTGACTATTAATCACTGAGTCTCCAAGCCTGGAGCAGTTACCACACATGCTAGGCACTCAGTAAACATTTATTTAGTGAATGACATTTGTTTCTTTGATCAGATTTGGATCTCTGTGAGAACTGGATGACTAATTGAACATATGATTACACGTATGACTACACTTTAAAATGTTTAAGGGAAATTAACAGAATTTATAAATAGTATTAATTGAGGGATTTAATTGGTTAAATTTATAAATTAAACACTGTTCAAAGATAAGTGCCTTTCTTTTTTTTTTTTTTTTGAGATGGAGTCTCTGTCGCCCAGGCTGGAGTGCCTTTCATTTTAACATAAATATCAGATTTACAAATGAATTTATAAAATTTGTAAGTTATTTTTTAAAGTTTAATGTAGAATCAGTTTTACATTTATGACTTTAATGAGTTAAGTATTTAATAAAATACTGCTAACTGTAAACCTCCTTTTCCAGGCCTTAGACATTAAAAAACCTAGGGGTAAGAAAGATAGAGCCCCTGATCATGAGAGGCAAGATATGTATAAAACGCTGTAAGAACACGGAGAACAAAGCAACCCATCCCCCACCTCAGCAGGTGGGGGAAGAGGAAGGAAACGGGTAAAAATTCCTAAAATTTTTACAGCAGCAGGTAATGCTTCAACAGAATCTTAAAGGAGGAGAAAGCAAAACACCAGGAGGACAATAGAAGGAGGTGGAGGAGAAGCTTATTTCAGCAGAAGGAAGAACATGGACCTGGTCCAAAGGGATAACCCAACAGGGCATAGTGTGCAAACTTCCAAGTAGCTCCAGATGGCTAGAGCTAGGCCAGCAGACACAAGGGCTTGACAACATGGAAGCAGTACAAGTTTATACTGAAGGGCCACTGAAGGATTTTCAGTAGGGGGTGACCATTCCTGTTTTAGGAAGATCCCTCTGGCCACAGTGAGGAAGATGGCCTGGAGCAGGAGAGAAAATAGGTGGGAGAGGTGGCAGTGTAGATAATAAGTAATGTGGCCCCACCCTGAGGAGTGATGGTGGTGCAGAGAGAGATTGACAGATCTTAGAGCACTTAAGAGGTAAAAATCTACAGAATGTAGAGAGATAAGGGTGTGGAGTGAGTCCCTAGCACAATGCCAAGTGAATCACTGAGGATACTCAGAAGCGTTGAATGAATGATGAATAGAATAATGGCAACAATAACAAAACACAGCATTTGGTGGAAGTTACTACATATTGAGCCCTTTGCCAAGAGCTTTGCCTTTATTATCTAATTTTATCTTCATGTCCATCCTTTAAGGAAGATATGCTTAATTTCCAGAAACTAAGACACATGGAAAGTGGATTACTTGCCCAGGCTCACCCAGCTAATCAAGAGAGGAGTCAGGATTGAAGGGGAGGTAATCAGCTCCAGAGTGCTATGCCCAAAGATGAAGGCTGGTTTTATAGTTTCTAGTAAATTGGAGTGATGAAAATGTTTGGATGGACTTAAAAAATATATTTTTTGAAAACTAATTTGAGGTGTGTGGGGGTGTCCAAGTAGAGCTGTCCAGATAGGCTGCCTAAAGCTCAAGAGAAATGTCAGGACAGGAATTATGAACAGGTGACCACATGGGTTATCATGAGAGTCATGGTATCATACACAAAACATCAACTGAGTGAAAAGACTAGATGACCAAGAGCAAACTCCTCGTGATCACTGATTTTAAAAAGTTGGACAGAGAAAGAGAGGCTGGAAAATAAAACATAGTGAACAGAGAGTTAAAAGTTTAACCAGCAGTGGTGTGGTAGGAATCATAGTAGACGATGTTTCCAGAAGGAGATGGTCAAAATCCACAACAGAGCAGAGTTGTCAAAAATAAAGACACAAATGCCTGCTGGATTCATCTTTTAGGAAGATGTTGGTAACTTAACTGAAGTAGATCCATTGTGTGATGATGGAGGGGACAGTAGATTACATTGGTTGACAGTGATACGTGATCAGGAAGTGAAAGCAGTGGGTAGAGATATGCTTTCTAAAAGTCCAGCAATGAAGAAAAGAGTGAGACAGGGGAGGCCTAAGGGGAGAGAGAGTCAAGGGAAGGATTTAAACAAGAGGCCAACTTGCTTAATTGTAACCTGCACAGACCTTAGGGGACTGAACAAAGGAGGATGAATGTGGGAATAAAGATAAGAGACAAAAAAATATGTTTGGAAGAAGGGGTCAGGGGGCACCTTGCCTCTAGTGGACAAGGGCCCTGAGCTTTACATAGCCCTCCATATTTATTGGTAAAAGAGATAGCGAGAAGGGGGGCGTGGAAGAAGAGGTCAGCTGCTCGGGTCCAGAGTAGGCTTGCAAGACTGCATTCCTCGAACAATAGGCTCTAGATGTCCCGGTAGATAACCTCAAGGTAAGTGTCAGTAAAGGAGAGCGTGAAGACAAGGGGCAAGAAGGTAGGACTACTACCACGGGGTCTTGGGGCTGTAACGGGTCTTCAAGAGCCATGACAAAGAGTGGAAGAGGAAGCCATTCAAGAACATAATAAAGGATTAGTGACTTATCTTGAAGCTGAAGCCATAAATATGTAACACCAGCACAATTACAAGATTTTCTCCAGCAGTTCCTGGCAGACCCTGTATAGCAGAGAAGACAGATGTTAGAGGGCTCCAGGGCCTGAGGTTGGCAGAAGACATAGGAAAGATAGTGGAGGGAGGGGTTTGCAGGGGTCTGTGAGAAAGGGAGCTGCCCTGCATGGGATCTGGGCAGGCAGGAAAGGAAGAGAAGTCCTAAGATATCCAGCTTGGGGAAAATAGCTTCAGGAAAAGAGCCAGGCCTCTCAACACTGCCGAGCTAGATGAGAAATAGCAAGTTGAGTGGAACTTTCCTCCTGACCTGGAATCACAGCTAAGGTCCAAAGCTAATGACTGAAAGCTCACAATAGTCCACAGTCAGAGTCACCGACAAGCTTCTAGCCATGATGCCAGCTACTACAGCACAACTTTCCAAGAGGTGTCAAAACTGGTCCCCTGCCCTTACCACTCCCCTGCCTCCCATTCAGTCAATATAAGAGAGGAAATCAATATAAAGAGAGGAAAAGAAGGACCCTTCAGCGTGACAAGAGTGACATGTAACACCTAAGCCCGAAAGACAAGGTTCAAGTCCTGGATCTGCCAACTTATAAACCGTGTGATGTAGGGCTATATATATCCACTCTAGTCCATAAAATGAGGCTAATGTCTACTCCAAATGGTTATCACAAGGATTAAATCAATTGAAATATTTAACATTCTTAGAACTGCACTATGTAAGTATTAGCTATTTTTCTTTTTTTTTTCTTTTTTTTTTTTTGAGACATAATCTCACTCTGTTGCCCAGGCTGGAGTGCAGTGGCACAATCTCAGCTCATTGCAACCTCCACTTCCTGGGTTCAAGCAATTCTCCCACCTCAGCCTCCCGAGTAGCTGAGACTACAGGCACGTGCACCACCACGCCTGGCTAATTTTTGTATTTTTAGTAGAGGGGGTTTTGCAATGTTGGCCAGGCTGGTCTCCAACTCCTGGCCTCAAGTGATCCTCCCGCCCTGGCCTCCCAAAGTTCTGGGATTACAGGCATGAGCTACTGCACCTGGCCAGTGGGTTTTTTAATGACATTAAATTTAATTCAAGGCAAATGGAAGACGCAAATCCATATACGTGTTTCTTTGCCTCCTTTCTCCTCCCCGCTCCTTTTTTTTTTAACAAGGGTTTTCTCTAATGACTATGTATCATGGGAGCAATTAAAACTGTACTACACATACACACACACAAACACACACACATATAAAAATTTGTACTTAGAATTGTTCAAATCCTTTGATGTACAAATTTCACATCACAGAGTGGAGTCTATCATAAGGAAAGTCCATTCCTAAATACAGACAGACAACCTTAACATGGAAAAAGATGTTTAGTGCAACATTTTTTTTTCTTTTGAGACCGAGTCTCAGTCTGTCACCCAGGCTGGAGTGCAGTGGTGCAATCTTGGCTCACTGCAACCTCCGCCTCCTGGGTTCAAGCAATTCTCCTGCCTCAGCCTCCCAAGTAGCTAGGACTTCAGGTGTGCATCACCACGCCCAGCTAACTTCTTTGTATTTTTGGTAGAGACAGGGTTTTACCATTTTGGCCAGCCTGGTCTTGAACTCCTGACCTCAAGTGATTCACCCACCTCAGCCTCCCAAAATGCTGAGATTACAGGCATGAGCCACCACATCTGGCCTATTAGCTACTTTTCTTATTCCCTCACATTCTCATGGGAAACTGATGAGGATGCTTTCCCTTTCTCAAAGCCAGTTCCGAGGGACTCCAAGAAAACCACTTGCAAAGACTAGAGTTGCCTTCAGTGAAGGAATACCATTCTCTATGGCCCTCAGAGGGTATGAAAGAAGACTCCAGTGGTTTCCCTGAGTCAACAAGAAGGTTCAGGTTGGGAGAGCAGCAGGAGAGGAGCCATGGCCTGTCCAGGCAGCTTCAAGGGTAAGGGAAATAGCACCAGGAAAAGAGGGTGGGATTATATACCACAGATGAGACCACAGGAAGACACAGGTGCCACACCAGCATCAGACAGAACCGGGGGGACCACAGCAAGACCAGGAACCCCCATACACCCTCTGCAGGTGGAAGACACATAGAACTAAGCCTCTCCACCTGTCCTTCCTGTGCCCAGCACCAAGGGAAGGAGCATCTGGAAGGGGGAGAGGGAGGAGGTGCACAGAGCCTGACCACAGCACCCTCTTCCGCTACCAGCAGCCAGGATCCCATCTCTGCCCATGCTGTTGAGGACAAACTGTCAATCAGGTTGGAAACTGATATTTTAAAAACAAAAAGCGGCCAGGTGCGGTGGGTCACACCTGTAATCCCAGCACACTGGGGAGGCGGAGGCAAGCGAATCACTTGAGGCCAGGAGTTCGAGACCAGCCTGGCCAACATGGTGAAACCCCATCTCTACTAAAAGTACAAAAATTAGCTGGACACGGTGGCACACACCTGTTGTCCCAGCTACTCAGGAGCCTGAGGCAGGAGAATCGCTTGAACCCGGGAGGCAGAGGTTGCAGTGAGCCAAGATGACACCATTGCACTCCAGCCTGGGTGACAGAGCAAGACTCACCTCAAAAAAAAAAAAAGGGGGACTAAGTCATACAGAAATAAAAAGGTTTTAAAACTTAACCATGACAGGAAATATATGGCCCTGGTCAAAGGATCCTCAAGAGTCCTACTCCACAGAAGGAGAGAAGAACTTGCTTCAGCACAGTGGAAAGCAGTGATTAGCAAAAATAAAACCAATTCCTATGTATGTGCAGAGCTGAGACCTCTCAATAAATAAGCCAAATATAAAAGATCTTCAGCCTGCAGGTTCTCCATGGCCACCCTCACCCAACCTGTTCCAGTGACCGAGCCCATCAGAAACTAGCCCCATGGGCACAGGCTCATTCCCTCCAGTGGCTGAGCTCTGCCATTCCTCCTGCCACCCAAAGCCTGGCATACCTGTGGCAAGCCTTGGGCAGGAGACCCACCTGAACCTGGCCCATGCATCCAGTATGCAGAATTAGCCTCCTGCCCTAGTTTCCTGATTATATCCCAGCTTCCCTCTGGAAAAGTCCTGGCCATTTGGCTAATGCCCTAACAACGACTCAGGCTTTCTCCAACCCTCTCTCCCTGAGAACTGAACTCTTCCTGTACTGGATCCCTCCCGATTGAAGTTTCTATTCTTCCACTTACAGCCATGGTGGCACTTCCTCTCCCAGTGGCTGCCCACCCCCCAATTATAACACCCCTGGGGTGTTTGGCCAAGGCCAAAGTCACAACAACCTCTTGGATATCCCACTAGAATTGCTGAAGACTCTTTACAGGAGAAGGCCCACAACCTGGCCTGACCTCTGTCTCCAGGCTCACCCTCCCTCCCGCCCAGCAGTTCTGGTACTTAACAGTCGAGACCACGTGGGTTATGATTGCATGGCGGGTTACAGATTGGAAAGTTGCTGCAATAGAACCAGAGGAATCGCTCAGGGCAGGAGCTCACAGGATGGAATTTAAGAACTCAGGTAAAAGCAGGTCTGGGTGATGCCAAAGGCTCCAGTCTGGCTACGGGATGGATGGATGCAATGGAGGAGGTGAAGGCCACCAGCATGGAGGAGGGCCATGAACTGAGACACTAAGGACTCACTTGCTGAGCCACTGATCCCCAAGACAGAGCCGATGTGTCACGGTAACATGGCTGGGAAGAGGATCATTTAATTTTGCCTCAGAGGAGGGAGACCAGAAAGGTGTACATGTGCTTTTTTTTGTTTTCTTTAACATTTTACTATGAAAGATTTTAAATACACCACAAAACCTCTGTAATGAACTGCCATGTCCCCATCACCCAGCTTCAACAGTTATTAAAGTTTTGCCCACCTTATAGTCCCCGGATCCCCTCCCTGGTGCCCCTCCACCTCCACCACCACCACTGGATTATTTTAAAGCAAACCACAGACATCGTATCATCTCATTTGTAAATACTGCAATGTGGATCTCTAGCAGATAAGCACTCTTTTTTAAAAAAATAACCAAGAAACAACAATCAAACCTAAAGAAATTAAAGAACGATTATTTAAAATCATCTAATATCCCATCTATGATCATGTTTCCACATTTAACTCATAAATGCCTTTTGGCAGATGGGTTGTTTGAATCCAGATGGAAATAAGGTTCACTTGTTCCATGGATTGATTTGTCCCTGTCCTACTTTGGTTTCCCCCAGAAACAGACCCTGGGGCAATGATTTCAGTGCAAATGGTTTAACTGGGAGGTGACCCCAGTGAAACTGGTAGGGGAGCCGGAAAGTGAGACAGTGGGAGGACCACCAACAAAGGGTTCGTTACTGCTGGGGGCAAATGAAGCTCAGTCTCTCTGGACAACTCTGGAAAACAGTGTGGGGCACCACTGAGAGTTTTCCCAACCCTGGGGGATAGAGGGAAGGAAGCTGGGG
The DNA here is from genome assembly GCF_000001405.40 of Homo sapiens. Taxonomy (NCBI): domain Eukaryota; kingdom Metazoa; phylum Chordata; class Mammalia; order Primates; family Hominidae; genus Homo; species Homo sapiens. The sequence continues at coordinate 98,498 of NW_025791797.1, read as the reverse complement.
TATTTGTCCACCAGCTTTCCACCCATCTTTGGCTAAGCACTGCTTCCAGAGACATTAACTCTCTAGGCCATTAATTCTCGGGCACTCTGCTCCGCTTACCATGTGTAACCTTGGGGACAGAATAAATGCCCTAGGGGAAAGCGTCACAGGTGTTCCTGGCACACAGCCTCCAGCAAGCTATAGAGGTAGAAGTGGAGTGAAGGTAGGCAGAACATCAATTGCATCTGCCACAGTCCCTTCAAAGTTTCTTTCATTAACACCACTTCCCCCGTCTTTTTTTTTTCCATGTATTTACTGAAGAAATGTGGTGTGGCATCTTTTAGTATTTCCACATTCTAAATCCGATGGACTTCATTCCCATAGTGTTGTTTGATATGAACCCCTTATCGTCCATACCTTCCTTTTTTTTTTTTTTTTTTTTTTTTGAGAGGGAGTCTTGCTCTGTCACCAGGCTGCAGTACAGTGGCGATCTTGGCTCACTGCAACCTCCGATTCCCAGGTTCAAGCAATTCTCCTGCCTCAGCCTCCCGAGTAGCTGGGATTACAGGCGCATGCCACCACACCCAGCTAATTTTTGTATTTTTAGTAGAGACGGGGTTTCACCATGTTGGCCAGGATGGTCTTGATCTCCTGACCTCGTGATCTGCCGGCCTAGGCCTCCCAAAGTGCTGGGGTTACAGGCGTGAGCCACCAAGCCTGGCCTGTACTTTCTATAAATAGTTGGAAGATTGATCAGATCGCAATTCTATTTTTTGGCAAGAAACCTACAGGTAAGTCTGTGTCCTTCCTATACCACCACATAGGAAGTATGGGCTTCTAACAACTAAAGGTTTGCCCGGCTTGAAAGAAGCTTAAGCCCCCTCTCATTGGTTGGTTATGTTGCTTGATTCAGCATATTCCCAAGCCGACCAACTTCTTCCACATGCCATGGAAGCTGGACAAACACAAAGTGAACAAGTCAGGCTCTGTGTGACTCAAAGGCCTTGCCAGCAGATTTGAAGCAGGGTTTGCTTGTGACTTGGAACAAACATCTGAAGATGGCATCGATTCTTCCACTCCTTACAGCACCTTTCAAACACCAAGCCCCTTCTGAAACCAACTTGCACACCAGAACAGTGCAAGACCACGTGAATTTCTGACTTTGAATGTCAGATGTGTGAATCTATTTACACTTTAGCTACCACGAATTCCAAAGCAGAGAGGTGTTCAGATCCTCTAAATCTTATCCATACCACTTCACAAGAAAAGTCTGCCTTACTGCACTGTAATGCAGACAGTGCAGGCAAAAAAAGAAAGCCAAGACTCTTGAGGGAATGCTAACATTAAATTCAGAGGACAATTCAGTCCAATGAAGTATTTCATACAACACTGACATGTTGAAGTTCTTTAGCCATTGGTATTTAGGAAAGAGCTTCATTGCATTTTGGTTAATTTTCCAAGGTCCTTTCCACTTGCCTCCAATCAAGCTTTTTGCAGAATGGAGTCCGCACTGTCCAATTCACTCATGCAAGAGACACTTACTGACCAGGTGAGCTTAGGGACTCTGTCTCCAAAACACACATAAGGACTTCTAATGTCTTACTTTTCTCTGTACCCACAGGATTCTCGGACTCTCCCCAGCACACATTAGACATTAGACCTTAGGTCTTTGTCAATCATCACTCCTTGCTAATACAAGGCTTCCCACTTTTCACCATGAAGATCTGTACCTTCTTTCAGTGCTTCTGTGCTGATGAGAATGGCTTTTCCAAGTTTACTGTTCTTCCCCAACCACTCCCCCTTAACATTTTCCCATTTATTACCTGTTGGGAGGTCCAGGTAAGGCACCTATTAGCTTGATTGCATATTATCCCAGCAAAGATTCCATCCATTCATTCATCTTCTGATTTAAGAGAGTCCTCAATGTTTATGACACTGCTCATTGGGAAAATGGTCTTATTCACTTAAAAGCTCCTGTAATTAAAAGTGAACAAATTCCAAAGGATGATATTGCCCTTGTGAGAGCTTGGTCTGTTTTCCCTGATGTGCAGGTGCTATCCTGCCCAGATAGAAAGCCAGTGACCACCGTCATATACTGTGCCAGGCTGAACTAGGTTGTAGGGGGGCCAACTGTGACATCACGGAGGCAACACATCACTTCAGGGCCAAGAAAATGAGCACTCAATTCCTGTTTGTCTTCAGAGCACCCTCTGCCCTTGGTGGATATTTCAGACTCACAAATAACATTTCCTACCCATGACATTTACCAGAAAAAACAAATTGTAATCTGGCCACCTTGGCTTCCTCTCTGAGAGGAGGCTGAGTCCTCCTGATGAGCCCTCAGTGTCCCTCTGGCATTTACCCACCAGTGACTGGCATATAAGAAGTCACTGGGACAATGCAGTGTGTAAGAGCAAAACCTCTGCTAATGAGGGTCAGCGGAAAAAAAAAAAAAAAAAACGCAAAATCACTAAAGGGGCAGTGTTAACACAATCCCACAGCAGAAAGAAGCCAGCTTAGACCCACAGAGAAGGGGAGTCCAGACGCCAAGAGCGGAGACCCCTAAGGGGCCCCAACCTCATCCATCCCCCTGAGGTTGGTTCCCACACAAGGTCAACAACCTTCTCCCAATCTCTTAGCTGGCCTCTGTGGGCCATACAACTCTGTCACCAACGATGTGATTCCCCCTGCCTGGCAAAAATGCCCAGGCCACAGAGACAGTATTTGGTTCCCTTTTATCTATCTATTGATCTATCAAACATCAATTTATAATCTATCATCTATCTGTCATCTATCTATCATCTATCAATCATCTATCTATTATCTATCTATCTATTATCTATCTATCTATCTATCTATCTATCTATCTATCTATCTATCTATCTATCGGCTTCTGACAATTCCTACTAAACTGCACCAACAATAAGCACAAACCTGTCCCACAGGCTGTTCTCTATTCCCTAAATAGGTCTAACTTCCCCACTTGCTTTCACCTGGAAAGGGCATTTTGGTTCAGCCTCTTCCTTTTAAATAGAGATAGAGGCCCAGAGGGGTTAGTGACTTTCCCAAGATCACAAAGCAGAAGCAGGCTGAAATCCAAAAGCACTGTGCCCTAGGGACACTGGACTATTTAATACGAAAGGATCTTTACATTTTTAGTTATAGGAGAATAATGTCGTTTGCAAATACATAAACCTGCCCTTGGGCTGTCAAATGCTGGCTATGGATGGGGTAACAGTTCCCACGGGAGGTGGGGTGGTTAGGGAGAGTCGTTACCCCCATCAAAGGAAGCAGTAAAGATTCTGGAAAAGCAAACTGGATGAGGGTGGAAACAGGAAATGGGACCAGGATGGAGAAGTGGAGGGTCACAGCAGTTTTTCCTGTATCACGGAAATTTGAGGTGGTTTTTACCTTCTTCCTTTAGCTTTATGGTGCAGCTTGAGTTTTCTTCACGTGTAGGTATTCACTGACATGATTAGGAAAAGCAGATCAATGAGCATGATTCCCAGAGTCAAACCCAAGAACCAGCCTCATAACCTGGGAGTCACAAAAGATGTAACACCTGCCCGTCAGAATGCCGTCAGAAGAAACGAAGCCTTCCATAAACTGAAAAGCAGATGGCTATCTATTACAAGGCACCCATTCTGCTACACAAGTTAAGCTGCTATGAGCTGCTAGCACAAGCAATGCTGGACTCTCAGGACCCCCATTCAACCCTGATGCACAGCATCATAGCTTCAGAACTATCCAGGATCTTTGTCCAAAAGCCAACATGGTCTTCTGGGTCAGGGAGACAGATCAGCAACGGTGCCTGGATGCTCACTTAAGTCCCCATGAAAACTAATAAAAATGGAGGAAAGGGGTAGCAAGAGTTATGAAAAATAAAAAGTTGACCATATGCCCAAATCAGAAGGATCTTCTACTGACAGGAAGAGATTCAGATGTATAGTCAGTGGCTAGTGAACATCAGCCACAAAACCCAAAGTGGCTGCAGAGGCAGCTGGGCAGGGGGTGACAACTGTGCCACATGGAAGGGAGCACACCCTCCTGAAGCAGATTTGTGTACTTATCATACAATTTTCCAGCAGGCGGCTGTCAAATCACCAGCTCTAACCAATTCAGGATAGGAGAGTTTTCCCCCGCATGAAAGTAAAGTGTGTCGAGGAAGAGGCGTATTTTTCTAACTCATACAAAGAGCACCATGTGGGCTAACAGTGACCCACGGACACCCTGACTCCACGGACTGCTCCTCCACAAAAGCCTCAAGGAATCCCATCCAAACCACATAAGCACTCCCAGGTCAAGTCTCTTGGTCTCCTCAATAACTTTAGTTCTGCATTCATCACACATCTGCAGCTCCTAGGCAAGAACTCAGCCTGGTGCACAGATGCCCAGGCTAACTGCATTCTGAGGCATGCAACCTCCTCACCTGGGAGCAGCGCCTGCAGGCAGGTGTATGCATCCATGAAAGACTGGTTAGAGCTGGCCTCAGGTTCTGCAGGACCCACATCCATTTTTTTCATTTGTCAGAAACGGATAGTGAGAGAAGAGGCTGGGCACAGTGGCTCACACCTGTAATCCCAGCACTCTGGGAGGCCGAGGCAGGCGGATCACGAGGTCAGGAGATCGAGACCATATTGGCCAACATGGTGAAACCCATCTCTACTAAAATACAAAAAAAAATTAGACGGGCTTGGTGGCATGTGCCTGTAATCCCAGCTACTCGGGAGGCTGAGGCAGGGGAATCACTTGAACCCAGGAGGCGAAGGTTGCAGTGAGCTGAGATCGCGCCACTGCACTCCAGCCAGGCGACAGAGCAAGACTCCGTCTCAGGAAAAAAAAAAAAAGAAAAGAAAAAGAAAAGAAAATTAAAAAAAGAAAGAAAAAAAAATGGATAGTGAGAGAAGAGAAAAACTATGTCAGCCAAAAAGAGCTTCCTGGGATGGGGCCACAGACTAGGAATGTCCCATTGGTGGTGCCACCAGCTCAGCCCCTGGCCTCAGATATGAGAAGGCATTGTGCCAGGGTCAGTGGTACACTGCAAATGGCCAGTGTATCACATCTGTGTGCCAACACTAGGTCTATTCACAGATAAGGAAGGAGAAACACAACAGTCTGATGCCTATGACCAGAATTTGAAGCACAAGAGGACAGAAACCGTTCCTCAAAAAAAAGAGCAAAAACATTCTTGCACATAGATTTATTGCAGGAAAGTATAGAAACTTCTTTGGGTTCACAACAGAAAATAAGGGCACATTCCCCCAAAATAGTCCACATACCAAACAGAAGAGGCAAATATATCAAACAGTAAACAGACGGAAAAAAGAGACTGCAGAGAAAATAAAAACATGGTACCCAAATTATAAGACATGCAAGGCACAGAGGAACATACTGAAGAAGAACAAGAGGAAACAATCAGGCCAAGCCAAAAGATGGGACGACTGAACTAGTCATGTTATCAAATTGATGTCATTGCAGGAAAAGAACAAGAAGGAACAAGAAAGATAAAAAAAAAAAAAAAACAGGTAAACCGGTTAAAAATTCTTCAAGATTAAAACATTTAAGAATAACCCAGCAATTCCACTCAGGGTATATACCCCAAATAATTGAAAATATGATGCAAATACTTGCACATGAGTATTGTATGGACTGAATGTTTATGTCCTCCCAAATTCATTTGTTGAAGCTCTAACTCCTAATGTGGTTGTATTTGGAAGCAGGGCTTTGGGGAGGTTATCAGGTTTAGAAGAGGGACAAGTGTAGGGACCCCATGATGGGGCCGGTGTGCTTATAAAGAAGAGGAAGAGAGGCCAGAGTGCTCTCTCTCTCTCTCTCTGCCATGTGAAGACACAGGGAGAAGGTAGCCATCTGCAAGCCAGGAAGCGGGCCCTTTCCAAGAGCCAAATTTTCCAGTGCCTTGATCTTGGACTTCCCAGCCTCCATAACTGAAAAATAAACATCTGTTATTTAAGCCACCCAGTTTCCAGTATTTTGTTATAGCAGTCTGAGCTGACTAGGGTAAGTATTCATTGCAACACTATTCCCAATAACCAAAAGGGAGAAAAACCCAAATGTCCACAAAGGATAAATGAATAGACAAATTATGGTATATTTATACAATGGAATATTATACAGCCATGAAAAGGAATAAAGTACTGATACATGCTACAATATGGATGAATATCAAAAACACTGTGCTAAGTAAAAGAAGCAAAACACAAAAGGTCACATATTGTACAATTCCATTCATATAAAATATCCAGAATAAGTAAATCCACAGAGGCAGAGGATAATTAGTGATTCCCAGGAGATGGGTGGGGTGGGAAATGAGGAGTAACTGCTTAAAGGGTATGAGGTTTTACTTTGGGGTGATGAAAATGTTTTGGAACTAGATAGAGATGATCATTGTACAACACTGTGACTACTAAATGCCACTGAATTATTCATCTTAAAATGGCTAACTTTATGTTATGTAAATTTGAATTTAAAAAAAAGCAGTATAAGAGACATAACTATCAAATACAATGTATGGTCTTTGGTTAGATCCAGATTCATACAGGCTGGCCATAAAAGACATTTGGAGAATATTAGAGAAATTTGAATATAGGCTGGGCATTGGAGGACATAAAAAATCATTGTTAGATGTGATAGTGGTAGCATGGTTAGAGAAAGGCCTAAGAGAAAGGCCCTTATTTTTCAGATGTGCATACTGAAGTATTGGGAATGAAATGTTACGTGGTCTGTTAAAATGCTTCAGGAATAAAACAAGATAAACCAAAGATGGCAAAATGTTAATACCTGTTAATCTATGTGATGGGGTAGAGGTATTCATAGTATTTTTCTCTTTAGTTTTCTGTATGTATAAAATTCCTCATAATAGAAATTTAAAAAAACAAATCCACATGGTAGGCAGTAAAAAGTAAACTTCCGGCCAGGCATGGTGGCTCATGCCTGTAATCTCAGCACTCTGGGAGGCCAAGGCGGGAGGATGGCTTGAGCCCAGGAGTTCGAGACCAGCCTGGACAACATAGGGAGACCCTGACTCTATAAAAAAAAAATGCCAACAAAAACCAAACTAGCTAGGTGTGGTGGCATACGCCTGTAGTTCCAGCGACTTGGGAGGCTGAGGCAGGAGGATTGCTTGAGCCTGGAAGGTGGATGCTGCAGGGAGCCATGATCATGCTGCTGTACTCTAGCCTGGGCAACAGAGCAAGACCCCACCTCAAAAAAATAAATGAATAAATAAACTTCACACACTTTACAATGCTAAAAAATGCAGCCAATGGAAAAAGAGGAGAAATACTTCAAAAATGGAGCAAAAAATTACCTAAAAACAAAAATCATCGCAAAGAACACAACACTTTTTCATTATTCTTCCCCAGACTTGTTGAGGCACCTACATTAATATATGAAGGAACACAGAAGAAACATCCAACCCATGTAAAACTATTTCATCCCAAAATAAAACCCACACAAATAGTATCCAAACAATAAATAAGCACTTACCAGAAAAAAACACTTTCCTCAGTTGAAAACAGATTTCAGTTTGCATGGTTCATCATATATTAAGCAAAATTAATGGAAAGAGATTCACTGATAGACATGTTCTGGTGACATTTTTTAGTCTCAAGGACACATAAAGAGTCATCAGAATTCAAAGGTGAGAAAATAGGAGACAGAGAGATTATCTGCAAGGGAATACAAATCAGGATGGCCTCAATATTTACCCCCAACAGGAGGTTTTGGAAGATAATGCATCAATATCTACATTTTAATATTTAAACACTTGTGACTTTAAAACTACTAAATTAAGACACATTGTTGTTCGCAACAGAAGGCAACCAAAAAAAATGTTTTAAATATGCAAAGTCTCAGAAAACATATGGTGTATGCTTCTTGAAGAACGTATTTGAAAATGTGCTTCATGTCAGAGAGAGCTGGAAAACCTAAGAACTCAAAATGGCAAAGTGAGCATCAACTAAGTTTAATATAAATGCATGCATAATTCATAACAGGATTATGAAGAGAGACACAAAAGAAAATCACTGAGGTTATTTGTGAAATGCTGACTTGAATAGTTCTAGATTAGATTGCCAAATGTCTCAGGAAATAGAAGAAAAGAAAAGAGATACAAAAAAACAACCAAAATAAAGAAATGTGGGATTGTCTATCAGGGAGAGTGAAAAAAAAAACTATTTTTACTGACTTCAGCAATTTCATAAATATAGATTTAATATGGATTTTTTAAAAACTTAATAGGATCCACTACTAGAATTAGAAATGGCATAACTATGATCCAAACAAAAGTACAAGATAAAAGTAAATGTAATGATAATGTAAAGACAGGACTGAAAGCAAAAAACAAGGAAAACGAAATGGCAGATGACCAGACATACCACTGTGTCAATAGTACGATTTCCTCAATAAATAATAGGCAAAGACAATCAAAATTGGTTCAAACATAAATTACCTGCTTCTTAAAAACCCTTTAAAGTAACACCATAGTATTACACCAAAAGATGAGGGCAAATGTGAGGAAAAAATTAAATTGGGGGTAATATTTGTATCATTCTGAGTATAAGAAGAAGGCAGAAAATGGGATTAAAGAGGGTCATTTGAGATTGCTGAAAGATACAATCAGTAGTGGAGCCTCGTAAACACTGAAGCTTTTGCATCAAGATATAGTAAGCCATTAAAACACAGAAAGATGACAATAGGCTCTTGATTCAAAACACAGATCTCAGTTCTTTTCTCTCTAGCACCAACATTCTCCCTGGAATGGCCATAGGACTATAAAACTGAGAAGTATCTAGATCAGCTTTACAAACTAGGACAACTCCCAACTTCCTGGCAGCAGCTTTGAGAAATTTCTGAAATTCTTAGGAATTCCTAAGGCAAGGATGGATTGATCTCACTGGTCAGACTGGCACACACAGTAGGACATAAAAAGGGCCATGGGGATGGGAATCCTACAGATGCCCCTACCAACAGCACTTGTGGTAGTTACTGATGAGGGTAATGCGACTTCTCTAACTTTGGGCAGACCCACAGAAAGAAAAGGAACTCTTGGCATAGCAAGGAAAGAAGCCCTACCAGAGATTTCCCCTTGCTGCATCCATTAATTTCTATGAATATTGAGTGTCTACTGTGTGACAAGTACTGGGGCTGGGAACACAACAGTAAACAAATCACACAGGAAGCCGTCCTCATGATGACCGTGCTATCTAATACATAGCCACTGGCCACATGTGGTCATTTAAATTTATGTTTTAATTAATTAATAAAAATTAATTAAAAGTAAATAAAAGTTTAGAAATCCATCTCACTTGCACTAGCCACATTTCAAATGCTCAGTAGTCATGCATGGTGAGTGGCTATCATACCAGGCAGCTCAGATCCAAGAACATTTCCATCAGCACAGAAAGTTTGCACTGGGCCGCACTGGTCTAGAGCAAGGCCCTCCATTTGCAACCTTCCTTTCAGAAAGCTAAACTATCAATCTGAAGCTCTCCCTTCTCACCCTGTCTGGGCTGACAACAGACTATATCTCACCTGCTGAAACTAGACACACTAGAGCCACTTTCTTTGAAGAGCATAGGAGAAAATAATCCAACATATGAAGAAACTCAGTCATTTAAAATAAGAGAACCAATTGGAGAAATCAAAGTAAGTATGACCATAAGAAACAAACTCACAGAAGGCAAGGGAAGGAAAAGTCAAAACAGTGCACTGATTCTGATTTCCAGGTTGGATTCTTGATGGCATTGCCCCCTGGAAGAAGGACAAATTGAGATCAAGATTTCTATTCCTAGAACGGAACTGTTCACATTAAAAATGGTATAGCATAGAAAAACTAGCTTGCGTATCAAAGGAAACCAAATGAGAGACTTAGAAAACAAACTTAAGAAAATTCTCTCAAAACTTAAGAAGGCTCAGCCGAGCGCGGTGCCTCATGCTTGTAATTCCAGCACTCTGGGAAGCTGAGGTGGGTGGATCACCTGAGGTTAGGAGTTCAAGACCACCCTGGCCATGATGAAAACTCGCCTCTACTAAAAATACAAAAAGTTAGCCGGGTGTGGTGGTGCGCGCCTGTAATCCCAGCTACTCCGGAGGCTGAGGCAGGAGAATCGCTTGAACCTGGGAGGTGGAGGCTGCAGTGAGCCGAGATCACGCCATTGCACTCCAGCCTGGGCAACAAGAGCGACACTTTGAATCAAAAAAAAAAAAACTTAAGAAGGCTCAACAGACTAATATGCTTGTAGAAAGAAAAGAGATTTGGAAAACAAACCCTAAGGAGGCAGTATACATTAATAACAAGATTTCCACCGGTATAGAAAAGAACAGAATATATAAAAAGTAAAGCCTACTTTATATCCCAAAAAATGGATTTAATTTGTGACAAAAACTGCAAACTGTAAAACAATACACAAAAAAGCTTGCAACAACCACAAAGGATCAGCTAAATAAACCATTACAAGATATATGATGATGGATTAATATATTTCATATATAAAGGTAAATTTGAAAATGACAATTTAAAAATGGAAAATATCAAAAGGCAATTCACAAAAGAAATGCAAATGATCAGCACATATGTAAAATCAATATATACAAATTTTTTAATAGATCACAAGAGCAAACATTTCAAATGAATGGCAAGACCCAGTGTTGGCAAGGAAATGGCAAACAGGTTATCTGACAGAACACTATTGCTGAGAGGACAAATTGCTCATCTTTCTGTTAAGTAATAAATTGGAAATGACTCCCCCCTCTTTAGTGCCATCTTCTTTTAATAAGAAAATTTAAAATGACTCCTTCCCACAACAGATTTCAATGCCTCTCTAGTGGTTTTTTGTAATATTTGCCTTTCAAGTAGAACTGTCTCCAGTAGAAAATATTAACTCCAAGAGCACAGCCTCTTGGAGAGAGAAATAGCAAGAGTAGCTTTCTTTCAATGCAACCCAAATTACATATTTCTCTGCACATGTCAAAAGAGGTGTTTTGTCAGGGGAAAAAAACGATCAATCCTTTAGTCTCTAAAAACCTTTGTACAGGGTTAGGGAATGAAGTTCTGCCATCATAATGCACCACTGTGCTCTTTCAGATATATGATTAAAGATTGCATTGTTTCCTTTTGCCAACCTGAAATTTCAGCTCTTAAGAAATATTTTTGCCTGCTTTAATGTAACTCAAGTCAAGTACAAATAAAGTAAGCCATTTCTGAGGAGAACCAAACCAAACCAGCAGGGAGAAGTAGCAATTTAAATGCAGCTCCACCTCAATAAAACAAAGCTGACAAATTACTAGAAATCCATTGCCCACCTAACGTCCTAGTGTCAAATCTCCTGATTCCTAAAGCCATCTGTTGGAAAACAATTTCAGCAAATAATTATTTCAGCATGTTTCCGCTCCCTGTGACAGGAATTATTTCTCTTTTTTTTTTTTTTTTTTGAGACAGAATGTCTCTCTATCCCCCAGGCTGGAGTGCAGTGGCAGGATCTCGGCTCACAGAAACCTCCGCCTCCCGGGTTCAAGCGATTCTCCTGCTTCAGCCTCCCGACTAGCTGGGAATATAGGTGGCTGCCACCACGCCCGCTAATTTTTGTATTTTCAGTAGAGAGGAAGTTTCGCCATGTTGGCCAGCCTGGTCTCGAACTCCTAACCTCAGGTGATCCGCCCGCCTCGGCCTCCCAAAGTGCTGGGATTACAGGTGTGAGCCACCGTGCACAGCCAGGAATTATTTCTCTTAATCCAAAAAGAACAAACAGGCACCAGGCAAGAAGGCAGGCACCAATAAATGTACAGCTACCCCTCGGTATCCATGGGGGAATGGTTCCAGGACTCCCATGGGATACACAAATCCTTGAATGGTCAAGCCTCTGATGTAAAATGGAGTCATATTTGCATATAATCTATGCACATTTTTGCATATACAGCACTTTAAATTGTCTCCAGATTACTTATAATAGCTAATATAATGTAAATGCTAAATAAATAGTTGTTATTCTGTATTGTTTAGGGAATGATGACAAGAAAAAGTCTGCACATGTTCAATCCAGATGTTTTGGTGTTTTTCTCAAATTTTTCTGACCTTCTTTTGGTTGACTCCACAAATGTGGAACCCATGGATACTAAGGGCTGGCTGAACTTCCAAGCTGTATTCTACCTCAGCCACCGTGAGAGACACAGAGCAGAGGGGAGGCCCGAGCCTTGCAATCCTCCCAGGCTCATGCTGGCCCCACAAGGTAACAACTGTGTGATTTGAAAAGAGTTGCATAATGTCTGCATGCCTCAGTTTTCTCATCTGTGAAATTGGGATGGCGGCATCTTCTTCATAAACTGTGAGAACTTTAAAAAACCTGTAAAGTATGCTGGGTACAGGGTTGCTATTTTATTTTTAGAACAAACAGTGATAAAAACTGAGTTTTGCCATTATTTATTATAACAGTGTAGAAATATGAATTTATATCAACAGACTCCAAAGGAACAAAAAGATAAAAGTAATAATTGAAGGGTGATAGAGTTAAAGAGGATTTTTTTAACCCTAAAACAGATTGCGTTTTTGTTGTAACAGTTTTCAAATAAATAAAAATTGGGGAAATAATCTGATGCCCAAAGAAACAACTAATTAGTTTCCATCCAAAAAATCTTCATCTTATGTCACAGTAAACATGGTGAATTTTATTACACTGAAAAAGAACCTGAAGAAACTCAATGAATAATCACAAAATAATAAAAGTTAGCATTTATTTAGCAATTACGACATGGCAAGCATTCTACCAAGTGCCTTACACATATCAGTTCAATTCATTCCCATCACAAGTCTGGGAAGGAGGTATTATTATTATCTTCATTTTACAGATGAGGAAACTCAGGCATAATAAGTAGTGTGGCCAAGATCACAGAGCTGGTAGGTGGCAGAGACAGCCTTCCACCTTAGACAGGAGAGCAGATGCTGTCAGTGCCCCACTGATGGCCCCGAGGACTCAATTCTACAAGATCAAGTCTGTTACCACAAACACCTGCAACCTTCAGTCTGGAGGCCTTTTTACCCCCAACCAAAGGAACATTAGCCCATGTGCCAGGCAAATTGGAAGTGCCAGGGACTTAACGTCCCAGAAACAGTCCTCAGCCAATGATGGGCAGGGCAGTTGGTAGATAAATCCCCCAGCTTCCTGCCTTTGCTGGGATAACTCTCAGGTGGCTTCTATGCTGTCTGTGAGAGTTCCCTAGGAAGAATGAGCTCCAGTTACCATCCATGGTAACTAACTTGATTAATAGTGCACCTTGATTGGCTTCCATCTCCTCCCCGTCACTCTCCCTACTCACCAGCTAGTTTTCCCGGGATCACTGCAAGAACAACAACATCAACACCACACACACACACACACACATGCACACGCTCTACCTCTACACAAATCGAGGTCTGCTTACAGTGGAGTGCCAACCAAGAAAGCAAGCTACGCAGCCCAGATATACTAACCCACACTCTAACCATCAGGCTATACCTACTGTATGAATGAAACAACAGGGGATTCCCCCTTCAGAGTCAATCCCAAATATACTCAGCCTTTGAAGGCTGAAAATACGCACCTGGCCCTTACATCATAAATTAAGTGCAGACCTTAGTACATGCCGTACGACGGAAATGTGTGATATCATGGAGGGGTAGAGAGGATTTGAGAGACATAAGTCATCACCCAAGCAGGCGTTCTGCTCCCCAGGAACCCAGAGAAGAGTAGAAAGAGGACATTTCTAAAGGCAGTTGGTTTATAAGGATGAAGCTTATAACATTTGGTTTTAAGAAGCAGAATTTCATTTTCTGTTCCAGGCAGGAGGTCAGTGGAGAAAGTTATCAGCTAGCATTTATTACACGTTTATTATGGGCCAAGCCCTGTGCTGAGCACCTCATGTGCATTAGCTCATTTAATCCCCAAAGTTGAGTCCACCGTGTTGGAGCTGCTCTTTACCCTAGTATACGGAAGAGGAGAGTGAGGCTTACATAGGATATGTGACTCGTTCACCATCACACAGCTACCAAAATGGCTGAGCTGCGACTCCAGCCAGGTCTCTCTGATTCTGAACTCAACTCTTAACCAGTATACTAAATGATTACTATACTAAAGCTCCCATTAATTAAACCATATATCATATATAAAGCACTTGAGATACATAATTTCTAAGCTTCAGCACAACATTACAAGTTAGAATTGAGCCAAATAATTTGTAAGCGGCACAAACCCATCAGCCCTTTGAGGTATTAACTCCAATTTGCAGATAAGGAAACTGAAGCACTGAAAGACATTTCCCCAAAGTCCCCAGCAAGTGCCAGTGCAGACAGCCAACCAGACTCAGCTCTCCCTATCTGGCTGGGGCTTCCAGTTCCACTGTGCTCTTCATATTACCTGAAGAAAGACACTATCTCCTCCTCTGCAATCCTTGCTGAATCCCAAATCTCTGTGCTTAGATGTAACTATGACTCATGTACACCTTCTACCTGCTCAGAGGAAATCTAACAGTTGCCCTCCCGTAGGTTAAGCCCCTGCAATGATCTGCAAGTTCCCCTAAAGTCTGGTCTTCTCAGAATGACTAGACCCTGTCCCTTCAGCTTTCGGTTTAATGAACTGGCCCTCACTGTCTGTTCATTCCCTGGGACCCATGCCATCTCCCTCACCCACCTCACATCCACATACTCTCACTGCTGAAAGTGTCCCCAAAGAGGCCTAAGTGAGCAAATCCATGGCCCTATCAAAATAAAAGCATCTCATGGATTATATCCTCTTTTACCTAAGTCTATGGGGCTTTTCATTCTCAGAGAAGTAAATCAAATAAATCCAGTAATATTTGTTCCCGCAAAATCTATGCGGTCTTCTGATAGTACACTCCTTATTTTGATGACAAACTCCAAAGAATTTTTCAATTAGGACAATTTTGGCTGATTTACATTCCCAAAGAACCCCCTCTAAGTCTCCTAAGGAGAATAAATGCCCCACATTTCTTTAAGTATGCATGTCTGGCAAATCAAAAGGGTACCATCTGGTTCACATAATTTCTGCATAGAATTTCTGAAAAGCCTATAGAACATATATGGTCCACGCCTGCTCCAATAGACGCCAAAACATTCCATTACTATTGTACAAACTGACTGAAGTTAACCGAGGCTAAAACTGGCCACAGTCCTTTTAAAAGAATATGATGATGATCAATTAATTCCCTCAGAACACAGCTCACAAATTATAATCTACATACTTATTTGATTAAGTCATGTGAGAGAAGAAAGATAAACATGAAAATGACATCACCCCCAAGAATAATTTTTGAGCTCTGGGAAAAGTAAGTAGAGAATTGGCAAGAAAAGCAAACTGGGACTCTTTCAAAATGAAGCAAAGGAGAAGGCAAGATGAAGTTGGAATTATTAAAACAAGAAAGAAAAGATGATAGAAATGAAGTAAACCCAGCCAGGAGAGCAAGCAGTGTTTCCCTGGTGAGAAATTACAATGAAATGCACAGCAAAATGCCAGACAACCTGCAACCCAAAAATGCTTCTTGAGTTCCTCCCTCCAAGTAAATGAGAGTCCCCATCCAAGCAAACATACCACAGTCATTCTTCCCCAGTACTATAATATCTGGATAGAAGAGTTTGGTGTGTGATGGCCAAGTAAGGCATTAGCAGAGGTGACTTTTTGGTACTTGTAGCTCCTGAACTACAAAGTAAGAATGTATTCCAGAGTGAGGCCCTCCCCAGGTCACCAGGATGAAAAAGAACTGTTGAGCATTGGGGATCCTCCAAAAATGCACAACCAAACTGCATATTCAGACAAAACGCTTCTAGTGTTCTATCCAGGGCTTCAGAAACATGCATACCGCCATACTTCAATTGCCCAGACTTATAGTCCAGAAAAACTGTTGGCAAACTTCTTTGTAGGGACCACATAGTAGTATTTCAGGCTTTGCCCTCCATGCAGTCTCTTGTTACAACTACTCAACTCTGCCCTTGTAATACAAAAGCAGCCAGAGACAACAAGTAGGTAAATGAGCATGGCTGTGTTCCAATAGAACTTTATGTATGAACACTGAAATCTGAATTTCATGTAATTATCACATGTTTTAAATATTTTTATTCTTTTGATTTTTTTCAACCATTAGAAGAAATTATAAAAACCATTCTTAGCTCACAAGCTGTACAATAAAACAGGCAGTGGGCCATATCTGGCCCACAGGCCAAATGTTTGCCAACCCCTGTTTTAGAATATTCTATGTAATACAGAGTGTAAACAGGTGACATCTGGCTCCAATGAATGATGAAAGCACCTCAAATTTATATAAGGATTCAGAATCATGGAGAAAAGGTTAGAGAATTAGCAACAGATTTATTTCATGCAATGGTGACAAATACAAACACAAATATTTATCTCATGCGATGGTAACAAATACTGTACTGTACTTGCCTTGGAATCACACAAGCCTGCTCTTGAGTCCTGGGAAGATCACTTTCCAACTGTATAAACTTCAGCAAATTTTACTTGACCTTGCCAAGCCTCAATTCCCTCCTTCGTAGAAGGAGGATAAAAATAATACTATTTTAATCTACTTTTTGCTAGTTATACTATTTGACATACTATTTGACTGTTTATACTATTTTTTGATAGTTATGAGGATTAAATGAGACCTTTCCACTAAAACACTTTGTATAGCATCCACCACATCTGCAAAATAAATCTAATTAGTATTATGATCAATACTCACGTAATGGTTGATTAACTAACTGCAAAACATTTGTCCTGGATATGAAGATAAAATGTTTAGAAATCCTTACTCCTAATTATTTATTTATAAAAGACAAAGCTCCAAACAAAGTAGATGCCAGAGTTAAAGTCAAAGACTAATACAATAAAGAAAATTTTAATTTTGGTGCAACATCCCAACTCTTCAGCAACCAGGAGTCTACAGACCTCAGATTTCTGTGCGCTGTAAGTGCGAAGTCATGAGAAAAGAATGCAAGCATTCATTCACTCAGCAAGCATTCCTCAAGACTTGTATAAGCAGTATCTGGTAGACAGGCACAGGAAGTAACCAAAATAATTTCAATACAACAGGTGACAATTTGTTTTAGGCAATGACTGTCTTTTCTTGGAAAATGCACTTGGTGACACCAATGTGAATAGCAGAGATCCAGGATGGGTAAAATTCAGGAATGCTAGTTAACTTTTTATTTTTTATTTTATTTTATTTATTGATTTATTTATTGAGACAGAAGCTCACTCGGTCACCCAGGCTGGAGTACAGTGGCGTGATCTTGGCTCACTGAAATCTTTGTCTCCCAGGTTCAAACGATTCTCCTGTCTCGGCCTCCCGAGTAGCTGGGATTACAGGCACGCAACACCCCGCCCGGTTAATTTTTTATATTTTTAGTAGAGACAGGGTTTTACTATGTTGGCGAAGCTGGTCTCGAACTCCTGGCCTCATGTGATCTGCCTGCCTTGGCCTCCCAAAGTGCTTGGATTACAGGCGTGAGCCACTGTGCCCAGCCTAGTTAACTTTTTTAAAACGAATTTTTATATAAAATTATAGTTTTTTATATATAGTTATATTTATATAAAATTTATTAAAATAGGTTTTAAGATGCATCACTTTTACATTGAGCTAAGGCTCAATGAGACCACCAAGAAGGGGATTATATCTGCCTTATAACATTCGAGAGAATACCTATTCTTGCATCCTGTTCTCAAAAGATTCCTAAATAGGTCACTACAAGCAAAGCACTCCCTCCACCTCATTTCTTGCCAGCCTTTGCTCAGCCCACTTGTGAGGCTGCCCACCCATTTCAAAGCCTGCCTTCTGCTGCTCTGCCCACCCAGCATCGTCAAATCTGTATCATGACTTGACAGCTTTCTGTCCTTATCCCCGATCATGCCAGAGCTCTCACATTCTGCCAGCCAAGCTCCTTCAACGGATTAACACAACAGCACATGGGCAAGCGCTCAGTTCATTACTACCCAATCTGCCTCCCAATAAGGTTTACAGGAACATCCTCAGACAAAAAGCCAGGAGTTATCTCTACAGAGACCATATGCAGCTCCTGAGCAAATACTGGCCAAGCTATGGGTGAGCAGGTAACATCCTTCCACTATTCAAAAACTGAGAAAAAGGCAACCTGCAGATGAACTATCCAAGCAATATACGCTTACCTAAGACTCTGAAAAAAAAAAAGTGCCAGCCATTTGGCAGTGGATCATAATAATTAATCACACACATTTCTTTGGCCTGCACAGCTTTTTAAAAAATTAAATTAATTGCCAATATTTCAAAAGTAGGACATTTCATATAAAATCTGGATTTTTAGCATCCTCCCTCCAAAAAAATCAAGAGGATCTAGGCAAAGAACAGGCTGAAGGTAAACAGAAGCAGGACATTCAGGCCCCAATTCACCATCATCGCTACCTGCTGAATGTTCATTCGACATTTAGCATATAATTACTACACAACTACTATGTGCCAGGCAGTGTTTGAGGGACTTGGGATACCATAGGGATAAACAGGACAAGAGATTATCAGACAGTAACATCCGCTAAGAAGGGATTTAAAATTGGGTAGCACAGAGGACTTCTGCTTCAGGGATGATGGGGTAGATATACTTTTCTCTATTCCTCACACTAACTACAATTTAAAACCCCGGGCATTATATAGAACACAAACATAAGAAGACTCTGAAAGGTGGAGAGAAGAAGGCACACCAGCTTGGGACCCTGGGACCCAAGAAAGGACAAGGTCATGGGTTCTCTCAGTTTTCTTTTTCCCTCACGTGTCCAAGATTTGGAGCTGAAGAAGCCAGCAACACGGAAATGCGCATGGACATAAAAAAAAAAAAAAGCCCCAACAGGCCGGGCGCGGTGGCTCACGTCTGTAATCCCAGCACTTTGGGAGGCCCAGGCGGGCAGATCACGAGGTCAGGAGATCGAGACCATCCTGGCTAACACGGTGAAACCCCGTCTCTACTAAAAATACAAAAAATTAGCCGGACGTGGTGGCGGGTGCCTGTCGTCCCAGCTACTCGGGAGGCTGAGGCAGGAGAATGGCGTGAACCCAGAAGGCGGAGCTTGTGGTGAGCCAAGATCGTGCCACTGCACTCCAACCTGGGCGACAGAGCGAGACTCTGTCTCAGAAAAAAAAAAAAGCCCCAACAAATGTCTGCTCTCTCTAGCCAAGGGACCAAGCAAATGTCTGCTCTCTCTAGCCAAGGGACCAAGCAAGGGGCAGCCAAGGAAGAAAGAAAACTTTTAGACAATAACTGCTCTACTCCAGCCACAGACCACAGAGAAAACAAAATGTGGCCGTACCCTTATCCACACCAGCAAAGGATGAATGGGGGCCTAGACTTCTACCCTTGCCAGGCTGAAATGAGGTAACCAATAGCCCTCTCCCCTCCTCACCCCTGGGGCAGTGTCAGAGAAGGCCAAGTAGACCCATAAGGCAGTAACAACACCCACCCACCCCCCCACCCACCTTTGGTGGTAGTGGACAGCATGTGGGGAGCCTGAACTTTCGCCTCCATCAGCAGAAATGAGGTGCCCTTGCTCCTCCCCACTGGGGTGATGTCAGAGGATGCCTAGTGGAGAGTCAGAACTACCTGGTGGTAATGAGGCTGCCCCCGCCATGGTGTCAGTTGAGGCCAAGTGCAGAGCAGTAACAAGGCACTCATACCCCTCCCAACCAGAGAAGGGTAGGAGTGCTTTGTTATCAGTGGAGGCCTAATGGCCGGAACTCTCGCTCCCCCTCAGCAATAATGAGACCCCACCTTGAGTGTCAGTGAAGTCTGAGAGGAGACTTCCCCCACCTGGAAGTAACAAGGCAGTGCCCCCCATGTCCCCTACCAGAGCAATGTCAAAGAAAACAAGCAAAACCAGACAATGTAATTAAGATCCAGAGTCTCATAATATCATAGCCCCAAATGCCCAGATTTTAATAAAACAATAATCATGCCAAGACCCAGGAAGATTTCTAGTTGAATGAGAAAAGACAATCAGTAGATGCCAACACCAAGATCACAGAACCATTAAAATTATCTGACAAAGATTCTAAAGAAGCCAAGAAGCCACTGTGAAGATGCTAGAAGCAGTGAAAAATAGAAAGTCTTAGCAAAGAAATGGAACATATGAAGAAGAGCTAAATGGAAATTTTAGAACTGAAAAATAAAATAACTGAAATTAAAAATTAGCCTATATCTCACCCACAGAATGCAGAAACAGAGAAAAAAAATGTGAACTGGAAGATAGAACAATGAAAATTACCCAATCTGAACAACAGAGAGAAAATAAACTGCAGGAAAAAAATAAGACAAAGAACAAAGCTGCAGGGACATGAGGGACCATAACAAAGGACCTAACATTCATGTCATCAGCGTTCCAATAAGAGAAGGGAAAAGAAGGCAGGACTGGTAAAGCACTCAAAGAAACAGTGGTTGAAAACTTTCCAAATTTGGCAAAAGACAGCCTACAGATCCAAGAAGCTAAGTAAATGCCAAACAGGATAAAGCAAGAAATCCAGCCGGGCACAGTGGCTCACGCCTGTAATCCCAGCACTTTGGGAGGCTGAGGCAGGCGGATCACCTGAGGTCAGGAGTTCGAGATGAGCCTGGCCAACATGGCGAAACCCCATCTCTACTAAAAGTACAAAAATTAGCCAGGTGTGGTGGTGGGCACCTGTAATCCCAGCTACTCAGGAGGCTGAGGCAGGAGAATCACTTGAACCTGAGAGGCAGAGGTTGCAGTGAGCTGAGATGGCACCACTGCACTCCAGCCTGAGTGACAAGAGCGAGACTCTGTCTCAAAAAAAAAAGAAAAGAAAAGAAATCCACACCAAGACACATCATAGTCAAGCTTCTAAAATCTAAAGACAAAGAAAAAATATCTTGAAACCAGTGAGAGAAATGACACTTAACCTATAGAGAAAAACAATTTGAATTACAGCAGATTTCTCACCAGAAATCACTGTTAAATGAAACACTGTAGACAAATTTAATCAAGTTTATTTGAGCAAAGGGCAATTCATGAATCAGGCAGCACTCAGAACCAGAAGAGGTTCAGAGACCTGTGTCCGGTAGTATGAGAAGTGAACTTTTATAGGCCAGACACAGAAGCAAAGTCATGAAATCACTGGATTGGCTACAGCTAGGCATCTGCTTTATTAAAGCCTGGTATGATGAGGTATTTGCCTTATTTGGGCATAGTCTGATCAGCTAGCTGCCTGTGACTGGCTGAAACTTGGCTGTTTGTTATAGTTCTAAGTTAGCTTTTAATTTGTTTACATACTGTTTGGTTGTGGTTCATTAGGTAGAAACTCAAAGAATGAAAACAGCCTCAAGGTAATAACCTCCTGCTTATTTAATTTAACCTTACAAAAGCCAGGAGAAAGTGGCAGAATATTTTTCAGTTGCTTAAAGAAAAGAACCATCAACCCAGAATCTTATATCCAAAGTAAATATCCTCAGAAATGAAGGAGAAATCAAGATATCCTCAGATGAAGGAAAACTAAGAGAATTTGTTACCAGCAGACCAACCCTAAAAGAAGGGCTAAAGAAAGTTCTCTAAACTAAAAGAAACAATAAAAAACAGAATCTTGGAACATCAGAAAAGAAAAAAGTACATGATAAGCAAAAATATGGGTAAACATAATAGACTCCTTTCCATAAGTATTCTAAACTATATTTGATGGTTAAAGCCCAACTATAATACTGTCTAATGTGTTTCTAAATGTATATAGAAGAAATATTTAATGAAATTATATTATAAATAGGGAAGGCCAATGGAAGACAAAGGGAGGTTAGTTTTCTACACTTCACTTGAACTGGTAAAATGATGA
The DNA here is from genome assembly GCF_000001405.40 of Homo sapiens. Taxonomy (NCBI): domain Eukaryota; kingdom Metazoa; phylum Chordata; class Mammalia; order Primates; family Hominidae; genus Homo; species Homo sapiens. Next base: position 76,661 of record NW_025791797.1, on the reverse strand, counting down.
CATCAGTAGACTTTGATAACGTGTGTGTGTATGTATACACACACATGTGAACAGCCACGACAACTGCAGTACAAAGAGGTGTACTCAAAAACACTATATAAACCAAAATGGAATACTAAAAAATTTCACCTAACACACAGGAATACAGGAAAGAAAAGAAAATAAATTAAAAACAGAGTAACAAACAAATACCCCCAAAATAAAATGGCAGCCTTTAGCGCTAACATATAAGTAATTACATTAAATGTAAGTGGTCTACATGCACCAGTTAAAAGGAAGACAGGTAGAGTAGATTAAAAAGCATAACCTAACTATATGCTGTCTATAAAAAACAAACTTCAGGCCAGGCTCAGTGGCTCATGTCTGTAATCCCAGCACTTTGAGAGGCCAAGGTGGGCAGATAACTTGAGGTCAGGAGTTGGAGACCAACCCCTGGCCAACGTGGCAAAACCCTATCTCTACTAAAAATACAAAAATTAGCCAGACGTGGTGGCGCATGCCTGTAATCCCAGCTACTTGGGAGGCTGAGGCAGGAGAATCACTTGAACCCAGGAGGCAGAGGTTGCAGTGAGCTGAGATCACGCCGCTGTGCTCCAGCCTGGGTGACAGAGTGAGACTCCATCTCAAAAAAACAAATAAACAAAAAACTTCAAATATAGCAATATAGGCAGGTTGAAAGTCAAAAAATGTATATATTATGCGAGCATTAATCCAAAGAAAACAGGAGAAAAGAAAAAGAAAGTAGGACTGGCTATATTAATATCAGATAAAGTAGACTTCAGAGGAAAGAAAATTATCAGAGACAGGAACATTATATGATAGTAAAAGAGTGAGTGCACCAAGTAGACATAGCAATCCTAAATGTGTAGGCACCAAACAGCAGAGCTGCAAATTATGTAAAGCAAAACTGGTAGCAATGAAAGAAGGGAGACAAATCCATAATTATAGTTGGAGACTTATCTCAACAATTAATAGAACTAGACAGAAAATCAGTAAGGATATAGAAGAACTCAGTAACACTATCAACCAAAAAGAGCTAATCAATATTTAGATAATTTATTTGGAACACTCCACTCAACAACAGCAGATACACATCGTTTTAATGTACCCACAGAACATATACCAAGATAGACCATATCCTGAGCCATCAGATAAACCTCAACAAATTTAAAAGAACTGAAATCATACAGAAAGTGTTCTATAATGACAATGAAATCAAAGTAGAAATCAATAACAAGAAAAATCCCAAACACTTGGAAACTAAAAAAACAAACTTCTAAATGATACATGGATCAAAGAAAAAGTCTGAAGGGAAGTCAAAAATACATTGAATTGAATGAAAATTAAACTACAACATATCACAATTAGTGAGGCACAACTGAAGTGAGATAAAAGGAAAGAATATAGCACTAACTTTGTACCTTAGAAGACAGAAAAGGTCTCAAATCAATAATCTCATTTCCCTCAAGAACCTGGTGTGGAAGGAAAATATGCAAATAAACTAAGGAAGCAGAAGGAAGAAAATAATAAGGATAAGGGCAGAAATCAACGAAATTGAAAAGAACAAAACAATTGAGAAAATAAAACAAAGGGCTAGTTCTTTGAAAAGATCAATAAAACTGACAAACCTTTACCAGGACTGAAAAAGAAAAAGAGAAGACAAAAATTACCATTATCAGGAATGAAAGATGAGATATTACTATAGCCCTGCAGACAACAAAACAATAATAAGGGAATACTATAAATAACTCTCATGCCTAAAACTGATCACTTAATTGAAATGAACCAATTCCTTGAAAAACACAAACTAATAAAACTCACTCGATAAAAAACAGATAATTTGAATAACACTATATCACTATTAAGGACATTAAACGTGTAATTTGAAATTTCCCAAATGAGAAATCACCAGGCCTAGATGGTTTTACTGGAAAATTCTCTGAATTGTCTAAAGAATTAATACCAATTCTACACAATCTCCTTCAGAAAACAGAACAGGAAAGAACATTTCCCAGTTAATTTTATTAAGGTACCAAAACTAGACAAATTACAAAAAAAAAAAAAAAACACTACTAAAGACCAATATCCCTCATGGATATAGACACCAAAAAAATACAATAAAACGTTAGCAAACAGAATTGATCAGTATCTTTAAAAAATTATACATCATGACCAAGTGGGTTTTGCTGGTTCAGTTTTTGAAAATCAATTAATGCAATCTGCCACATTAACAGGCTAAAGAAGAAAAATTACATGATCATATCAACTGATGCACATTTGACAAAACTCAATACTCATTCATGATAAAAATTCAGAAAAGTAGAAATACAGGGAAATTTCCTCACTGTGGTTAAGAGCATCTACAAAAATCCTACAGTGAACACTACACTTAATAGTGAAAGATTGAATAATTTCCTCCCAAGATGGGGAACAAGGCAAGGATGTCAACTCTCACTACTCTTATTCAAATAATGCTGGAAGTTCTAGACAGTGAAATAAGGCAAGAAAATAAATAGCCTACAGATTGGAAAGGAAGAAATAAAAGTGTCCCTATTCACAGATGACATAATTGTTTACATAGAAAATCCCAAGGAATCTAAAAAACAAAAACAAAAACTCCTAGAACTAATAAATAAGTTCTGCAAGGTCACAGGATACAAGATAAACGTACAAAAACAATTATATCTTCATACACTAGCAATAAATACATGGACACCTACATTGAATATACAATACCTGGCAGGGCGCAGTGGCTCATGCCTGTAATCCCAGCACTTTGGGAGGCCAAGGCGGGCAGATCACAAGGTCAGGAGATCGAGACCATCCTGGCTAACATGGTGAAACCCTGTCTCTACTAAAAATATAACAGAAAATTAGCTGGGCGTGGTGGCGGGCACCTGTAGTCCCAGCTACTCGGGAGGCTGAGGCAGGAGAATGGCGTCAACCCGGGAGGCAGAGCTTGCAGTGAGCCAAGATTGTGCCACTGCACTCTAGCCTGGGTGACAGAGAGAGACTCCGTCTCAAAAAAATAAAATAAAAAAAGAAAAGAAAATACAATACCTTTTACAATCACTAAAAAAAAGGCATGAATACTTAGCTACAAATTTAATAAAACATGCACACGATCTATGTGCTGACAACTACAAAATGCTGATGAGAGAAATCAAAGAGCAAAATACACACAGAGATACACCATATCCATTGATTAGAAGACTTACAACAGGAAACATATCAATGTTCATCAATGCTTTCCAAATGGATATACAGGTTTAACGCAATTCCTATCAAAACTCCAGCAAGATTTTTTTATATAGACAAGAGTATTCTAAAATTTATACGAAAAGACAAAATAACTAGAATAGCTAAAACAATTCTGAAAAAGAATAATGTGGGACAAGTCAGTCTACCTGATACAAGACTTAGAATATAGCTACAGTCATCAAGACTGGATAGTACTGGCCAAGGGACAGATATACAGGTCAATGGAACAGAATAGGCAAGGCATGAGTAGACCCACACAAATATGCTCAGTTGATTTTGACAAAGATGCAAAAGCAATTCAACGGAGGAGGGATAGCCTTTGCAACACGTGGTACTGGAGTAAGTAGACATCCACAGGCAAAGAAAACAACCTAAGTCTCACACTTTATTAAAAAAATTAATTCAAAATGGATTACAGACTAAAATGTAAAACATAAAACTATATAACTTTCAGAAATAGACATAGGAGAAAATCTTCATGATCTCTGACTAAGCAAGAGTTCTTAGACTCCAAAAGTATGATCCATATGTGGAGAAATTCTTAAATTGGACTTCATCAAAATGTAAAACTTTTGCTCTGTAAAAGATCTGATTCAAGAGGATGAAAAGACAAGCTACAAACTGGTAGAAAACATTTGCAAACACATATCCAACAGAGGACTAATATCTATAATATATAAAGAATTCACAACTCAACAGTTTTTTAAAAACCCAATTAGAAAACAGGCTAAAGATATGAACAGACATTTTCCATAAGAGGAGATACTTAAAGCCAATAAGCATATGCAAAGCTATTCAACATCACAAGCAATTAGGGAAACGCAAATTAAAACCACAATGACATATCCCTCCACATCTAACAGAAAGGCTAAAATTAAAAAGAATGACAATAAATGGTGGAGAGGATGTGGAGAAATTGAAACTGTCACACATAACTCTTGGGAATGTAATATGGTACAGCCACTCTGGAAAAGAGGTTGATAGTTTCTTAAAAACCTAAACAGATTCAGCGTAGCATGCCTTTCCCCTTGATACCTGCAAAGTAGTACCTTTCCTCTGGGATAAATGTCCAGGAGTACAATGTTAGATTTTATATACATATATCTCCAGTTGGGTGGGTGTTTCCATCTTGGGGCCTTTGTGATTGCTGTTCCCTTAGCCTAGCATGCCTTTCCCCATATATATATATATATTCTAACAATTGCACTCCTGGACATTTACGCCAGAGAAACACACACTTACATTCACAGGAAAATCTGTGCATAAATATTTATAGCAGCTTTATTCATAATAACCCCAAACTGGAAGCAATCCCAAAGTCCTTCCACATGTTAATGGTTGAACAAACTGTGATACATCCATACCATGGATTACTACTCAGCAATAAAAAGGAACAAACTATTGATATACACAACAACCTGGGTGAATATAGTATTACGCTGACACTTTAAGCCATTCAGAAAAGGTCACAGACTGTATGATTCCATTTATATAATATTCCTGCAATGACAAAATTATAGAAATGAAGAAAAAAATAGTAGTTGCCAGGGGTTAAGGAGGGAATGGAGGCAGGAAGGAAGTGGGTATGGCTATAAAGGGTGACACAGGGGATCTTTGTGGTAGTGGACCTGTTCTATATCCTGACTGTATCAACATAAACATCCTAGTTGTGATATGTACAATAGTTTTTCATAGTGTTATCACTGGGGGAAACTGAATAAAGGATACAAGAGATTGGTATTATTTCTTATAATTGCATGTGAATCTGCAATTACCTCAAAATAAAATGTTTAATTAAAAGCACATAGAATAAAGGAACACAATTATATTGAAAAACAATTATCAAAATATCGAAAATATTAAAATATTTGTGATAGGAAAAAATAATCCACCCAACTGGATAACAGACAAGAAAGGGTAAATGTCTATTTGAATTGAATAGCCAGGGAAGCCCTCTCTTAAAAGGAGACCTTAATCTGTGCTATGATGTGAATGACAAGAAGGAACTACTTTGCAAGGATCAAGGGGAAAAGCATGCTAGGCTAAGGGAACAGCTACCACAAAGGCCCCAAGATAGAATGACCTTTCTTAGAATACCAAGGGAGCAAAAAGCGGCTAAACATCCTCAGGAGAGGAGTGGGAGAGGCCAAGTCAAGTGAGGTTTCACAGGCCCGAAGAGGAAGCTTAGGTTTTATTTTAAATTCAACTGGAAGCCACTGAAGACATGCAAGCAGAAGAATGACATGGTCTGAGATACATGTTTTTATTTTTTACTTTTTTATTTATTTATTTATTTTGAGACAGAGTCTTGCTCTGTCACCCAGGCTGGAGTGCAGTGGTGCAATCTTGGCTCACTGCAACCTCTGCCTCCTGGGTTCAAGACAGTCTCCTACCTCAGCCTCTAGAGTAGCTGAGATTACAGACACACACCACCATGCCCAGCTAATTTTTTTATGTTTAGTAGAGACGGGGTTTCACCACGTTGGCCAGGCTGGTCTCCAACTCCTGACCTCAGGTGATTCGCCCTCCTTGGCCTCCTAAAGTTCTTTTTTTTTTCCCACATGAGCTGTTTTTATTGCTGTTATTATTATTATTATTATTATTATTATTATTATTATACTTTAAGTTCTAGGGTACATGTGCACAATGTGCAGGTTTGTTACATATGTATACATGTTTGGCCTCCTAAAGTTCTAAAGGATTACAGGTGTGAGCCACTGCACTGGCCCGAGATACATTTTTTAAAACAGTATCCTGGCCATTGTGGGCAAATGAATTGTAGCTGGTCTGGAAATTGGTTAGGAGGCTACTACAATCATGGGGGCAAGAAATGATGGCCAGGACCAAGGTGATAGTAGCAGAGATGGAGAAAAGCAAACGGTTGTATTTTGAAAGTAGAACCAAGAGGAAAGGCTTGCTGATGAATTGGGAATAAGGGAAAGAAATGTCAAGGATGAGTCCTGGTTTTTGTTTTACTTTGGTTTGTTTTGTTTTGCTTAAGAGATCACAAGTAGAAAAACAGTTTGGGGTAGAGATAATTAAGAGTTCACATTTGAACATCTTAAATTTGAGATTTTTTAAATATCCAAGGAGAGAGGTGATGCAGGCACTTAGATTTGTGTGTCTGTATCCAGGAGAAGCATCTGGGCTAGAAATATAATTTAGAGAGAAATCAATGTATAGATTTTGTGTAAATCTGCAGCTGAGGAAGCTACCTTGGGAGCATGCAAAGTTAGAAAAGAGAAAGTACCCAAGCCAGGGCCTGGGGTATTCCAGGATTTACAGTCAAGGGCATGAGAAGGACCCATTAAAAGACACCTGAAGGAACAGCTAGTGATTCCAGAGGAAATCTGAGCAAGTACAGAAGGTGTTGTAAGCAGAGAATAGTCCACTGGGTCAAATGCTGTTGAGAGCTCAGATGGAGAAGTGACCATGAGATTTGACAATGTGGAGGTCACTCAAGACCTAGGCAAGCATGGTCTCAGAGCACAAGAAAAGAAAGCCAATTTGAATAGGTTGAGAAGACAATAGATAAGAAAGCAGAGGGCCTGGCGCGGTGGCTCAGGCCTGTAATCCCAGCACTTTGGGAGGCCGAGGCGGGCGGATCACCTGAGGTCAGGAGTTTGAGACCAGCCTGGCCAACATGGTGAAACCCCATCTCTACTAAAAATACAAAATTAGCCAGTGGCGCACAACTGTAGTCTCAACTACTAGGGAGGCTGAGGCTGGAGAATCGCTTGAACCCGGGAGGCAGAGGTTGCAGTGAGCCAATATCGTGCCACTGCACTCCAGCCTGGGTGACAGAGCAAGACTCTGTCTCAAAAAAAAAAAAAAAAAAAGAAAGAAAGAAAGCAGACATGGGACAACAAATAACTTCCTCAAATATTTAAATAGGACAGGGGTGAAGAGGGACCTAAGATCAAAGGAGGTTTTCCTCCTTTCCTTTTTCAAGACAGGAGATACTAGAGAGGATGTCTGCATGCTGATGGCATCAAGCTAAAAAAGACATCAGAGAAAATTATCTCCTAATTTAATGTATTTTTCCAAGAGTAAGTAAAAAGAACTATAATCTGGGCACAAATTATACTATATTATAATCTGCCCAGACTATAATATAACCTTACTATAATGTAATCTCACCATAGCACAGCTATAGTAAAGCCACAGATACACCCAAAGAGGAGATGGTAAGAGGAAGCTTTTATTGACAAAAAGGATAAGCTCATGTAAGCTGCTTGGAAAGAGTTCATTTTTTCCAGAAGCTCAAAGCCAGAGTCAGCGTCAGTTCATTGGTGGAGATGCCATTACTAGGCAAGGGTTCTTTCAAGAGCATCTTATCTGAATTGCTACAGTTCTAAAGAATGTCTAATGATAAACCTGGTCCTAGAAATGTATGCATATGTGCAGAACGTTAAGTCATGAAAAGAATGAGATATGTGAAAGCTGTGAAGGAATTTCTTGTGGAGTTATTTTAGAAAGTCCTTGAGATAGCCTTATCTCGGATATGCAAGCATGAGCCCTTCCCCTTCATGCTTCCCTGACTCAAATTTGAGTCTGACAGAACTGACTTTATCCTCATATCTGCAACTTTCACGTTTCCCCCTTTTAATCAAGATCTTTCTTTGGAGAAAGATTGATCAGCCTGTATTCAGGTTTTGAATATCCCTGGGTGCTAGGATGGACCTGTCCTGGATAGATATTCTTATACAACATCAGGGGCAGGTGATTATCAGCTGGAAGTCAGTATCAAGCCATTTTAGCCACATTTGAGCAACAAGAAGGCCATAAGGAGAAGCTCTCAGGCTTTGTTTGTCTGGATGTCATCAAGTTTGATTTTTGTCTGTTCCATTGATGTTGGCTATCATTTTAAGACACTAGACAAACATTACTCTATTAGAAGTTGCATTTCTGCAGAAATTTGACAGACATCAGGTACATATTTTTAAAAGGAAAATACAAAGTAAAAACAACAGGAGTATGACAAATCTAGTTTATGCAATAGTTCTGCCAAGCCTAAGGGCAATCAACTAAACAAATCAAAAGACCATGGAGAAACTGGGTAAGACTTGGCATAGCCATTGGGTAGTATTCCATGACTGGGTTAAATTAAAGCAGACAGTGCTAACTCTGTAAAAGGGCCCACTAGTACAATATGAACAAAAAGTTGTTAGGGATATTGCCAAAGCTACTCAATAAGTGGACTAAGGGATTTCTTAGATCAGCTTTTGTTAAGTTACTCATAATTGTTACTGATTGTGAAATTTTAATTATGGCATTATCCTGTCAAGTGAAGAAGGGAGGCATTACAAGGGGTAAGAATCTCATTATGATGTCTTGTTCCAACGGCCTTGGGAAACACTGTCCACAGTGTGAAGTCAGCAGTTTTGCAGTCTGAATGCCTCTGACTATGGCATCAGGCGGTTTGGTGAACTTTCTGTGTGGCCCACATATCAGGCACAAGGCTTGTCCCTTGTAATTTATATTAAGATGTTTAGTTTTAGCTTACAGCGCTTTAGAAAAGAATGGTTTCCATTGTTAGTAATTCTATTTAAAAATTCCATAGGAGAAAATTGGATTAGAGGAACCTAGAAGAATTTAAGATCCAGTCCCTTCTACAAGTATATAATAAAACCTGAAAACAACTCACAAGACTACAATCTAATAAAGGGTATATCACTGTCATCCCAATTTTACCAAAGTACTCAGAGCAAGACTAATTTGTATGTAAAATAAGTTAGTTTTATCAGATTTGTCCTGAGTATTTACATAAGTACAGTGAGAATAGTGATTGAATCTCAGATTGAACTTTTTTTTTTAACTTCTGAAGCAAGAAGGCCAAATCAAGGTGGGCTTCAGATTGTATCCGAAGTACCTACAAGAATTTTTAAATATGATGTCTAAGTCAAACCTTGCTAATATAATTAACATTTTAAATTGTATCTTGTTATTTAAAAAATAAATTTTTATCAAAATTATGTAAATACATTGTCATAAAATAAAAAATACTCACGAATAGTTTTTTTTAATTTTAGAGAGATAAGATAGGGAGAAAAAGCAAACATTTTAATATTATTCACAAGAGTATACATAACCAAATTGCTATAGGTACCTTAAGAAAAAAGTTTCCTTAAATCTGGAAAATAAAATATTAAAGAATTAGCAATATTTTAAATAAAAGTCATAAAAATTATAATCCATTATCAGTTTAGTCCCATGTAATTAACTGTTGCTCTGTTTGATCTTGGTTAGCAGTTTCATGAATATGTCAGTTATTTTAATTAGACTTTTGGAAATTTGTACTTAATCCATTGATTTTTAAGTTATCAGAAACATGTATTCAAGGCTACTTATTAGAGTCTTTTCCATGAATCTGACTGCAGATGACTTTATGAGAAAAATCAAAACTGTGGATGACAAAAATTTAGAATAGCTGTGGTTAAAAATTTGATGAGAATTCATTGTAACAAACAATTAACAAGGAAATTTAGTTACTTCTATTGTGTACAGTACTTTTTTTTTTTTTTGAGATGGAGTCTCGCTCTGTCGCCCAGGCTGAAGTGCAGTGGCGTGATCTCGGCTCACTACAAGCTCCGCCTCCCGGGTTCACACCATTCTCCTGCCTCAGCCTCCTGAGTAGCTGGGAATACAGGTGCCCGCCACCACGCCCAGCTAATTTTCTGTATTTTAGTAGAGACGGGGTTTCACCATGTTGGTCTGGCTGGTCTCGATCTCCTGACCTCGGGATCTGCCTGCCACGGCCTCCCAAAGTGCTGGGATTACAGGTGTAAGCCACCGCACCCGGCCTGTGTACCGTATTTTAAGATAACAACCAGAATCATGATTTACAGCATCATACCAAGACCATCAGACTCTTATACAGTTTACGTAGTTTTTAGAATATTCATATAAACACATCCGCACACATATAATTTTTTAAAGATGAACATCACTTATTAAAGATGATGCAGTTTTTCTAAATAATCAAAAAGCTAATAAAGACAGCACAAAGCACCATAAATTCTTAATAAAACATGAAAGTTCTGTTTCCCAGGCCATTTACTGAAAAGGCAAAGAAAAACCTCCTACGGTATGAGTACTTCTTCCTTTGGGAATCTCATTTAGATAAACTGTAAGTCGAACCTGATGAAACAGTATTTGAATTCAATTAGACACTGGAAAAGTATGTGTCGAAGGTCATGAGTATATACCACATTATAGAAGAATAATGTAAACAAGGAAACCAGTACCTTGAGCAGTGGAATGCATGGCTTTTAGAAAAATTAAAGACACATGAAATTGCCTGGTTACATGGAACAATTTAGACACATCAAGAAAAGCCAAAGCCAGGTGTGGCAGCATCCGTCTTTAATCTCAGCTACTTAGGACACTAAAGTGAGAGGATCCTTTGAGCCCAGGAGGTCAAGGCTGCAGTGAGCTATGAACACATGACTGCACTCCAGCCTGGGTGACACAGCAAGACCCTGTCAAGGAAGGAAGGAAGGAAGGAAGCAAGGAAGGAAGGAAGGAAGGAAGGAAGGGAGGGAGGGAGGCAGGGAGGGAGGGAGGGAGGGAGGGAGGGAGGGGAGGGGACGGGAGGGGAGGGGAGAGGGAAAGGGAAAGGGGAAAGGGAAGGTCACAATAACAGGGTGAGAACTGGGGGTGGGGGGGAAACAGCCACAGGAACTGATGAAAAAGTTGAGAGTGAGAGTCACCACTCCAGTTAAAAAGAAAATGTACCTTTTCAAGGAGAGAAGGAAGAAGAGCAGAAGGCAATGATGCATGACCTGCAAATTGTATGTCGTGAGACGTGGCAAAAAGCTGAACTCTTGAGATATGACTCTGGAAAGCTTTAAGAGCAAAACTCTATCTCAAGAAATGAAATTATCATTTTAAATGAAGAAGGCAGCACTTTCAATTTGAAATTAGGCAGAAACTGTATAACATGAAAAAGCTGTAGTTCAGAAGAAGGTTGAAAGTATAAAGAAATCGATTTCAGAATTAAAATCAAATCCTCTTGCAAGTTTTTACTAGGCGTAGATCAATATTCTGAGAAAATCTTGTTGCTCTGGTCCTGCATCAGTGTATCCCTGAAACCAGGGCTAAATTCTGAAATTCCTTTCCGGAATCCCAGCCAACCCAATTATACACAAAACTCCCTTTCCAAGACCCATCTTTCATAAACCCTCCATGACTCGCTTAGACCTGCCATCATTTTCTTAAACCCTAGTGTGATGGCTAACGTTGAGTGTCAACTTGATTGGATTGAAGAATGCAAAGTACTGTTTCTGGGTGTGTCTGTAAGGGTGTTGCTAAAGGAGATTAACATTTGAGCCAGTGGACTGGGAGAGGCAGACCCACCCTCAATCTGGGTGGACACCATCTAATCAGCCGACAGCGCAGCTAGAATAAACCAGGCAGAAGAATGTGGAAAGACTAGACTGGCCGAGTCTCCTGGCCTTCATCTTTCTCCCGTGCTGGATGCTTCCTGCCCTCGAACATTGGACTCCAAGTTCTTCAGCTTTTGGACTCTTGGACTTAAACCAGTGGTTTGCCAGGGGCTCTCGGGCCTTCGGCCCAGACTGAAGGCTGCACTGTCAGCTTCCCTACTTTTGAGGTTTGGGGACTCAGTCTGGCTTCCTTGCTCCTCAGCTTGCAGATAACCTATTGTGGGACTTCACCTTGTGATCGTGTGAGTCAATACTCCTTAATAAACTCCCTTTCATATATACATCTAACCTATTAGTCCTATCCCTCTAGAGAACCCTGACTAATACACCCTTCTTTGTCCTACAGTGAAATTTATCCAGGAGAGAAGAAACAATAGTGCAGAGAAGAGATGGCAACAAGAGCAAAGTCCCTGAGAAAATGAGAGGAGATGGGATTGGAAGCACAATGGTGTGACTAGCCAGGTGTGTCTTCCACTGTTGCACTGGAGAAGCACTGAAGCACTACATATGAGCTCACAAGACCCTCCAGAGTTTTGATTTGTGGCCCAGAAGAAAGAAAGGTGGACAAGGATGAGAAGATTTGACTCGGATATCAGATTCACTAGGGAGGACTCAAGTTATCCAGCCTGAAATATCAGCAGCCTCTACCACGGATGGATGATTTGAACAGGCAAAGTACTTAGTAGCATTACTGTCTGAGGAAGATGTAGCCAGGGACGGGGAAAAGACACCATTATCCACTGGATTTGGAAGTCAGAAGGAACAACACCTGGCTCAGGAAGGCCACTGGCTGCTGGTGCTGTGTGTGGTAAAAACATTGGGATGACCCTGGAAATTGGGAAGGAATTCCCATTGGGAAAGCATTTCAAAGAACTAGAATAGTTAGAACTGGAAACAATGCCTCCCTGATCTCATCAATAGTACTTCTCTCAGACTCTCCCCTCAGCTCAACACTTTCCCAGGTTTCTGTTGAAAAGCAAAATCTAACTGTCCACATTTTGCTGCTAAAGATTCTCCAGAATATGTTCACTATTTAGCCGAACAGTGTGTCAGTTGTTTACTGACAGTTCTATCTTCTGGGCAAAGCATGCCAGTAATAGCTTCCCCAAATACACATGAGATACCCACACACACACTTAACTTTGGGAAATTAATTTACATTCCGTTTGTTAATAAAGCTGAAAAATTAAACTAAAGCAATAGGGAAAAAAATCCCTGCTTTCAAATGCATTTTTAAATCAAATTCCAAGTGATACCATGAGTTACATTTACTTTATAGAACAAAAAGTCCTCAGTGGTAAGAAATATATGGATTGTATTATATCCTTAAGATATTTTAAAAAATCAAAATCAATCCATTTTAAACATCTATCTTCACACCCTGACTTTAAAAAAAAGGATTTATCAATTAGTTTATCAAGCAATCTATGTGAAAAGGAGCAAGAATGTTTTAGCTTTAATATATTTTCTGATGCGTCTAAGAGAAAAAAATAAATCATTATGGATTGTGCAAAGTGCATTTTATCTTTCTCTCTAATGAGATAGTGAAACAAGAGACATTCATTGCCTCCCTAGAGAATCTCATGATTTACAAAGAATATCCTTCTCTGAAGCATTTACCCCTAAATGGCCAGCCTGTATAGTCAGTGATTACAGGGAATACGTCCAGGCCCCTCATGACCCCTTATCATTTTTCTGGCTAATGCATTAAAAGAGAAAGGGGGAAAAGTTGTAAAAAAGCACTGTGTTAGAGGCTCCCCTTCTTTCTGCCCTACAAGCAGTGTCCTTTAACCTCTGGCATGTGTTGCTGAGTCACATGACAGAAGTTAAAAGGCATAAAGAAGTAAATTTAACATGGAGCCCACAAGTGTCATCAGTAGATGGTTAGTCTTGGGAGAGAAGGAGAGGAGGAGAAGAGATGAAACTGGTCCCTGGACTTTTATGGGATGCAGAACAAGGACCCTGGAAGACAAGAAGGTCCAGAAATGGAAAGAATATGACTATTAGTACTTTCCAGGTCAGAACACACATAGGTGTGCCCTGAACTTCCTTCTTCAACAATAAATGCTGTCAAGAAAAATTACTATGAAATAAGCATACAAATACAAATCAGTGAGTGGTAACACAAATGTAAATATTGTAAGCTATATTTTTATTGGTGAGGTACCACGTTTAACAAGAAACCACAATGCCATATCTATGCTATTTGTATTTATTTATAATAGCTCAAGCTACATCTCTACCAGAAGAGTAAACAGCTCTATCAAAAAAATCTTGTCAAGAGAAAAAATATTTAACTATGCACTTGAAAAATTTGGGTTCTGAGGGGAGGAGCCAAGATGGCCGAATAGGAACAGCTCCGGTCTACAGCTCCCAGCGTGAGCGACGCAGAAGACGGGTGATTTCTGCATTTCCATCTGAGGTACCGGGTTCATCTCACTAGGGAGTGCCAGACAGTGGGCGCAGGCCAGTGTGTGTGCGCACCGTGCGCGAGCCGAAGCAGGGCGAGGCATTGCCTCACCTGGGAAGCGCAAGGGGTCAGGGAGTTCCCTTTCCGAGTCAAAGAAAGGGGTGACGGACGCACCTGGAAAATCGGGTCACTCCCACCGGAATATTGCGCTTTTCAGACCGGCTTAAGAAACGGCGCACCACGAGACTATATCCCACACCTGGCTCAGAGGGTCCTACGCCCACGGAATCGCGCTGATTGCTAGCACAGCAGTCTGAGATCAAACTGCAAGGTGGCAACGAGGCTGGGGGAGGGGGGCCCGCCATTGCCCAGGCTTGATTAGGTAAACAAAGCAGCCGGGAAGCTCGAACTGGGTGGAGCCCACCACAGCTCAAGGAGGCCTGCCTGCCTCTGTAGGCTCCACCTCTGGGGGCAGGGCACAGACAAACAAAAAGACAGCAGTAACCTCTGCAGACTTAAGTGTCCCTGTCTGACAGCTTTGAAGAGAGCAGTGGTTCTCCCAGCACGCAGCTGGAGATCTGAGAACGGGCAGACTGCCTCCTCAAGTGGGTCCCTGACCCCTGACCCCCGAGCAGCCTAACTGGGAGGCACCCCCCATCAGGGGCACACTGACATCTCACATGGCAGGGTATTCCAACAGACCTGCAGCTGAGGGTCCTGTCTGTTAGAAGGAAAACTAACAACCAGAAAGGACATCTACACCGAAAACCCATCTGTACATCACCATCATCAAAGACCAAAAGTAGATAAAACCACAAAGATGGGGAAAAAACAGAACAGAAAAACTGGAAACTCTAAAACGCAGAGCGCCTCTCCTCCTCCAAAGGAACGCAGTTCCTCACCAGCAACAGAACAAAGCTGGATGGAGAATGATTTTGACGAGCTGAGAGAAGAAGGCTTCAGACGATCAAATTACTCTGAGCTACGGGAGGACATTCAAACCAAAGGCAAAGAAGTTGAAAACTTTGAAAAAAATTTAGAAGAATGTATAACTAGAATAACCAATACAGAGAAGTGCTTAAAGGAGCTGATGGAGCTGAAAACCAAGGCTCGAGAACTACGTGAAGAATGCAGAAGCCTCAGGAGCCGATGCGATCAACTGGAAGAAAGGGTATCAGCAATGGAAGATGAAATGAATGAAATGAAGCGAGAAGGGAAGTTTAGAGAAAAAAGAATAAAAAGAAATGAGCAAAGCCTCCAAGAAATATGGGACTATGTGAAAAGACCAAATCTACGTCTGATTGGTGTACCTGAAAGTGATGTGGAGAATGGAACCAAGTTGGAAAACACTCTGCAGGATATTATCCGGGAGAACTTCCCCAATCTAGCAAGGCAGGCCAACGTTCAGATTCAGGAAATACAGAGAACGCCACAAAGATACTCCTCGAGAAGAGCAACTCCAAGACACATAATTGTCAGATTCACCAAAGTTGAAATGAAGGAAAAAATGTTAAGGGCAGCCAGAGAGAAAGGTCGGGTTACCCTCAAAGGAAAGCCCATCAGACTAACAGCGGATCTCTCGGCAGAAACCCTACAGGCCAGAAGAGAGTGGGGGCCAATATTCAACATTCTTAAAGAAAAGAATTTTCAACCCAGAATTTCATATCCAGCCAAACTAAGCTTCATAAGTGAAGGAGAAATAAAATACTTTATAGACAAGCAAATGCTGAGAGATTTTGTCACCACCAGGCCTGCCCTAAAAGAGCTCCTGAAGGAAGCGCTAAACATGGAAAGGAACAACCGGTACCAGCCGCTGCAAAATCATGCCAAAATGTAAAGACCATCGAGACTAGGAAGAAACTGCATCAACTAATGAGCAAAATCACCAGCTAACATCATAATGACAGGATCAAATTCACACATAACAATATTAACTTTAAATATAAATGGACTAAATTCTGCAATTAAAAGACACAGACTGGCAAGTTGGATAAAGAGTCAAGACCCATCAGTGTGCTGTATTCAGGAAACCCATCTCACGTGCAGAGACACACATAGGCTCAAAATAAAAGGATGGAGGAAGATCTACCAAGCCAATGGAAAACAAAAAAAGGCAGGGGTTGCAATCCTAGTCTCTGATAAAACAGACTTTAAACCAACAAAGATCAAAAGAGACAAAGAAGGCCATTACATAATGGTAAAGGGATCAATTCAACAAGAGGAGCTAACTATCCTAAATATTTATGCACCCAATACAGGAGCACCCAGATTCATAAAGCAAGTCCTGAGTGACCTACAAAGAGACTTAGACTCCCACACATTAATAATGGGAGACTTTAACACCCCACTGTCAACATTAGACAGATCAACGAGACAGAAAGTCAACAAGGATACCCAGGAATTGAACTCAGCTCTGCACCAAGCAGACCTAATAGACATCTACAGAACTCTCCACCCCAAATCAACAGAATATACATTTTTTTCAGCACCACACCACACCTATTCCAAAATTGACCACATAGTTGGAAGTAAAGCTCTCCTCAGCAAATGTAAAAGAACAGAAATTATAACAAACTATCTCTCAGACCACAGTGCAATCAAACTAGAACTCAGGATTAAGAATCTCACTCAAAGCCGCTCAACTACATGGAAACTGAACAACCTGCTCCTGAATGACTACTGGGTACATAACGAAATGAAGGCAGAAATAAAGATGTTCTTTGAAACCAACGAGAACAAAGACACCACATACCAGAATCTCTGGGACGCATTCAAAGCAGTGTGTAGAGGGAAATTTATAGCACTAAATGCCTACAAGAGAAAGCAGGAAAGATCCAAAATTGACACCCTAACATCACAATTAAAAGAACTAGAAAAGCAAGAGCAAACACATTCAAAAGCTAGCAGAAGGCAAGAAATAACTAAAATCAGAGCAGAACTGAAGGAAATAGAGACACAAAAAACCCTTCAAAAAATCAATGAATCCAGGAGCTGGTTTTTTGAAAGGATCAACAAAATTGATAGACCGCTAGCAAGACTAATAAAGAAAAAAAGAGAGAAGAATCAAATAGACACAATAAAAAATGATAAAGGGGATATCACCACCGATCCCACAGAAATACAAACTACCATCAGAGAATACTACAAACACCTCTACGCAAATAAATCAGAAAATCTAGAAGAAATGGATACATTCCTCGACACATACACTCTCCCAAGACTAAACCAGGAAGAAGTTGAATCTCTGAATAGACCAATAACAGGCTCTGAAATTGTGGCAATAATCAGTAGTTTACCAACCAAAAAGAGTCCAGGACCAGATGGATTCACAGCCGAATTCTACCAGAGGTACAAGGAGGAACTGGTACCATTCCTTCTGAAACTATTCCAATCAATAGAAAAAGAGGGAATCCTCCCTAACTCATTTTATGAGGCCAGCATCATTCTGATACCAAAGCCGGGCAGAGACACAACCAAAAAAGAGAATTTTAGACCAATATCCTTGATGAACATTGATGCAAAAATCCTCAATAAAATACTGGCAAACCGAATCCAGCAGCACATCAAAAAGCTTATCCACCATGATCAAGTGGGCTTCATCCCTGGGATGCAAGGCTGGTTCAATATACGCAAATCAATAAATGTAATCCAGCATATAAACAGAGCCAAAGACAAAAACCACATGATTATCTCAATAGATGCAGAAAAAGCCTTTGACAAAATTCAACAACCTTCATGCTAAAAACTCTCAATAAATTAGGTATTGATGGGACGTATTTCAAAATAATAAGAGCTATCTATGACAAACCCACAGCCAATATCATACTGAATGGGCAAAAACTGGAAGCATTCCCTTTGAAAACTGGCAAAAGACAGGGATGCCCTCTCTCACCGCTCCTATTCAACATAGTGTTGGAAGTTCTGGCCAGGGCAATCAGGCAGGAGAAGGAAATAAAGGGTATTCAATTAGGAAAAGAGGAAGTCAAATTGTCCCTGTTTGCAAACGACATGATTGTTTATCTAGAAAACCCCATCGTCTCAGCCCAAAATCTCCTTAAGCTGATAAGCAACTTCAGCAAAGTCTCAGGATACAAAATCAATGTACAAAAATCACAAGCATTCTTATACACCAACAACAGACAAACAGAGAGCCAAATCATGAGTGAACTCCCATTCACAATTGCTTCAAAGAGAATAAAATACCTAGGAATCCAACTTACAAGGGATGTGAAGGACCTCTTCAAGGAGAACTACAAACCACTGCTCAAGGAAATAAAAGAGGACACAAACAAATGGAAGAACATTCCATGCTCATGGGTAGCAAGAATCAATATCGTGAAAATGGCCATACTGCCCAAGGTAATTTACAGATTCAATGCCATCCCCATCAAGCTACCAATGACTTTCTTCACAGAATTGGAAAAAACTACTTTAAAGTTCATATGGAACCAAAAAAGAGCCCGCATCGCCAAGTCAATCCTAAGCCAAAAGAACAAAGCTGGAGGCATCACACTACCTGACTTCAAACTATACTACAAGGCTACAGTAACCAAAACAGCATGGTACTGGTACCAAAACAGAGATATAGATCAATGGAACAGAACAGAGCCCTCAGAAATAATGCCGCATATCTACAACTATCTGATCTTTGACAAACCTGAGAAAAACAAGCAATGGGGAAAGGATTCCCTATTTAATAAATGGTGCTGGGAAAACTGGCTAGCCATATGTAGAAAGCTGAAACTGGATCCCTTCCTTACACCTTATACAAAAATCAATTCAAGATGGATTAAAGATTTAAACGTTAGACCTAAAACCATAAAAACCCTAGAAGAAAATCTAGGCATTACCATTCAGGACATAGGCGTGGGCAAGGACTTCATGTCCAAAACACCAAAAGCAATGGCAACAAAAGCCAAAATTGACAAATGGGATCTAATTAAACTCAAGAGCTTCTGCACAGCAAAAGAAACTACCATCAGAGTGAACAGGCAACCTACAACATGGGAGAAAATTTTCGCAACCTACTCATCTGACAAAGGGCTAATATCCAGAATCTACAATGAACTCAAACAAATTTACAAGAAAAAAACAAAGAACCCCATCAAAAAGTGGGCGAAGGACATGAACAGACACTTCTCAAAAGAAGACATTTATGCAGCCAAAAAACACATGAAGAAATGCTCACCATCACTGGCCATCAGAGAAATGCAAATCAAAACCACTATGAGATATCATCTCACACCAGTTAGAATGGCAATCATTAAAAAGTCAGGAAACAACAGGTGCTGGAGAGGATGTGGAGAAATAGGAACACTTTTACACTGTTGGTGGGACTGTAAACTAGTTCAACCATTGTGGAAGTCAGTGTGGCGATTCCTCAGGGATCTAGAACTAGAAATACCATTTGACCCAGCCATCCCATTACTGGGTATATACCCAAAGGACTATAAATCATGCTGCTATAAAGACACATGCACACGTATGTTTATTGCGGCACTATTCACAATAGCAAAGACTTGGAACCAACCCAAATGTCCAACAATGATAGACTGGATTAAGAAAATGTGGCACATATACACCATGGAATACTATGCAGCCATAAAAAATGATGAGTTCATGTCCTTTGTAGGGACATGGATGAAATTGGAAATCATCATTCTCAGTAAACTATCGCAAGAACAAAAAACCAAACACCGCATATTCTCACTCATAGGTGGGAATTGAACAATGAGATCACATGGACACAGGAAGGGGAATAACACACTCTGGAGACTGTGGTGGGGTCGGGGGAGGGGGGAGGGATAGCATTGGGAGATATACCTAATGCTAGATGACACTTTAGTGGGTGCAGCGCACCAGCATGGCACATGTATACATATGTAACTAACCTGCACAATGTGCACATGTACCCTAAAACTTAGAGTATAATAGAAAAAAAAAAATTAAAAAAAAAAAAGAAAATCTATAACCTTAAAAAAAAAAAAAAAGAAAAATATCCCATTTTAATAAAGGATAATGCATATTAGAAAAAAAAAAAAAAAGAAAAATTTGGGTTCTAGTCTCAAACGCTGAAACTTAGAATTAATTAAATTTTTTTGTTAACTTATATTCTTCTCATTTTAGCATATTTCTTCCTCTTTCCTGTTGGTCTCCATGTGCTGCCAAAATGATGCATAATCCCCAGGGTTTACGAGTCTTCATTCTCTGTAAAGTAGGGGTTTTTTCCCAGAGATAGGGAAGGTATCAGGAAAAAAGGAACAGTTAACCGGGTTATAGCTAATTTTACCTCGCTTATCTTTCAGAAAACTATCTCAGTTTGCCATGGTCCTGGATCCCTTCTCTGTAAAAGGTCCACTTTATCATCTTTGTCTTACTCTGAAATGCTTAACTTACTTAAGAATTTCAGCACTGAGATGTATACATACACACACACCCAGAGACACAGAGACATATTCGTATCACTTTATTGAGATATATTTCACATACCATACAATTCTCTTAAAGTGTACAATTCAGTGGTTTTCAGCATATTCACAGAGTTGTGAAACCATTGCCACAATCATTTTTATAACAGAAACATAGCTTCTAAATTCCCTGAGTCATCATACAGATAGAAACCAAGGTCCAGATGGGTTAAGTTATGTTCCCAAGGTTACAGAGCTGGTCAGTGGCTGAGCCAGACCTAGATCCCTGGAAATTATTTTAGCCATTGACATCATCTGGGGCTCCCTTCCCCTGCCCCAGGTAAGTTCTGTATGAATTAAAACCTGCTGTTAAAATGTTGTCTGAGAAAAACATCTGGCATTTTTTATTATTGAGCTCCCTCATATTATATTAAACCGGTCTGATTTCTCCACCAAATTGTTGCATTGCAAGATTTTTTAGAAAGACTTCTAGAACATATTAAAACATATCTACTGAGTACTTTTAACCACAAAACATGGCTATGAAGCCCAGAGAGAATCTGTGATGCCTCTCCTTTCAGGTAAAGTCATAAATTATTTCCGCTCATGCGAAAAAAAAAAAAAAAAAGACTAAATAAGACGTTCTGTTCATTTCATTTTTAATGTACTGATTACAGGTAGTTAAACCAAACTACCCATGACTAGCAAAATATTTCTCCAGTGCCAATAACTTCCAAGGATTTCAACCATTCATTCTGGTTACTGTCAGAAACCAACTTAAATCACCCAAGGGCTTACGTTATCTCTGAGATTTGCTTATCTTTGAGATTTGCCCCTGTGAAGTCCATACCCAATAAAGGAAAAGTTTTCAAAAGAGGAGGTTCATTTCCTGCCAGTGCTAAGGAAGCCAATGTAACAAGTACAGCCAGCGATTACTCTGGCACTGCTCTGCTCTGCTCTGCTCACAGCAGCACTCGGCCTCCTGGCTGTACCAGCTGAGGACACTCCACAATACCTAGCTCACTGAAGCACTTGTTGATTGCTCCTGCCTTTAAATGTCCCCCTTCCATGATGGTCTTCTCTCTCCTGTCATCTACGAGTTCTTTCTTTCCTGTGTTGTGCCACCCCAAAATTTCATCTATTCAATAAATATTTATTGAGTGGTCACTGCTCAACAATTACTGGGCTAAACATTGTCCCTAAATGGGGGTGCTGTCTAGAGTCTGCCTTTAACTCGCTGTGCCTTTTCTCACTTTTGTCTACACATACATTTTTAAATCTCCGCTTAGGCTGGAAATCACCAAAAATCTGTAGCTCCAGTACCAGCCTCACCCCCTGAGCTGCAGGTCAGGATATGCACCCCAACCCAGGCCAGTGACATGTGAATGTCCCAAAGACCCCTCAAAGTCCCTGGGTTCAGTGGTGAATCCATCATCTCCACCCTCACCTGAATAGCCTCTCCTCCAGGGCTCCTTAACACCTTGAATAGCACCACTGTCCACCCAGTGCCCCCAGCTAGAAACAGCATCACCCAGTTTCCATATGGAAAGAGTGTGAGTGAGGGGACAGCAGTGCCTTTCAGCCTGGAACTGGGGCTAGAAGAAGAGAATCTTCTAATTGCAGTTGCTTTCTATGGGCCAATTTGTGGGAGAAGCAGGATGAGACCTCACCACAAATGTGGACGTTGAATGAAATCTGTCTACCCTGGCTCTAGCAAAATGGGGGCTGGGGTTGCGGGGAGAGGTGGTGAGAAGCAACAGACCCAGCGGTGCTGGTGGGGAACAGGTTTTACAACGTGAGCTCTGCCATAGCTGGAAGAGCCTGCAATGTTGATGTTGAAAAACAAATTTGCTTGTCATCAACACACACACACACACACACACACACACACACACACACATCAATTTCATGTCTCCCCTCCTGTTTTCCTGTTTCCTCTGCTCAGAACGGCTTTCCTCCTATCATCCCACACCCTCAGCCATAATTCTTCCTCATACTTAATTCTCAAATGACATGTCTCCTCCTCCGGGAAGCTCTCCCTGACGCCCCCACTGTGTTATTTGTCATCCTCTGTGCGTGGAGGTGTGTCTAGCACTGTTTGTTTACGTGTCTGTCTCCGTGTCTCCCCTGCAGGCTGTCAGCTCTGTAAGAGCAGAAGCGTGATGCCCAGCCCCGGGCCGACACCGGGAAGACGGTGGGGAGGGGAAGGACCGCGGTAGAGAGCCCCAGCCGGGGAGCCGGGCACAGTCCAGACGGGGCCATTTCGATGCGCGCGCGGGGAGCTCAGCGGGACACAGCCAAGCGCCAAATACACAGCATCTCTGGAGGCGCCGGTGGCCGGTGGAGGATGGGCCCCCCACGAGGCTCTCCCAACCAAACGGCTGGAGACTCGGGGGAGGCCCTGCCGGCATCGTACTCCCTGTGGTCGTCCTCCCCTCGCGCGGGTAGGGGCCCCCCCACGCCCACTCCGTCTCCGCCTCCCGAGTCCCCGCGGCCGCCACCTCTGCCCTCCGCTCCGCAGAATCTCTCCGATTTACAACGGCCCAGGGCAGAGCCGGGGGCCAGGGAATGGGAAGGAGAAGGCGCCAAGACGCCGAGGAGAGAGCAGGCGGCCCCTCACCCCACCCTCGCGCCCTCCTAGGCGGGAAGAAATTGAGCCCCGAGAGAGGCCCTTCAGGGAACAGGAGTCCCAAAGGCCCGGGAGCCTCGGGGGGCCGCAGCCTCCGCGTCCCCCTCCCTCCTTCCCTCCTCTGCGCCTCCCTACCTGGCTGGCTTTGTGGAACTGCTTCTTCAGCCCGGCCACCGACATCGCGACTGCGACCGGCAGGGGCGGGGTGGTCTCAAGGCTCGGCTGGGCCACGCGGCCGCGACGCGCTCGGGGAGCGGGAGCCCGGGCCGGTCCCCCCGCGGCTGGGCTCCGCCGGGCCCGCCTCCCACGGCCACGGCCACAGCCACAGCCGCTGTCACACTCGCACACACGCGCGCACGCCGATGGCAACACTGCGTTCCAAAGCCCCTGCGCAGCCCATTGGCCAAGCCGCGGCGATATGCAAATGAAGCTGCTGGGGCCGCCCACGCTTCATTGTTGCGTGGAGACCTGGGCTACTTGAGCCGCGCAGAAGACCGGCCTGGGAAGCTGGGCGTGGGGATGTCCTGGGGGTCGGGGGAGTACAGTCACACAGTGCTTCTTGCTGGGCGCGGGACGATATAGATCTAGCTCTGAGATTGTCATGGGTACCGGGAGAGAGATCAGTTCTCTCTGCTTCTGTCTTGGTGCCGAACCGGCTTTGGCTCACAGGCAACATCGCCTCCCTCCGGCGCATTTTCGCTCGGTGTATGTTTAAGAAAGGAAGGCTCAGAAATGCGCCTAGGGAGGGACAACAAATGCAACTCGATGGGGGACCTGTGGTAGGAGGAAGCGGTCTGTGGGTGGCGGGCTTTCTTCTCTCTCCACGCGGTGCTCTGGGTGCAATCTGCTCAAATGATTTTGGTCTTCTGGGAGCCCTAGAGTTATGGAGTAATTTACTAATAAATACGGTGCTAGCTCACTTGGTGCTCTGAGCCCGCTGTCAACGGCACTAAAAGCAACCATCTCCAAGGTGCCATAAAGAGCTCGTTGCATATCCGGCGGAGTCCACCAGACCAGGAACCCAGCTCTCTCGGTAACCCCTACCAGCTGTGTCAGTTACAGAGTGTCCATTTGCACAGAGTCCAGAGGTCGACGCACTCACAGCTAAGCCCAGCCAGGGACATGGAGCATTGCGTTAACCTCGTGTTAGAGCTATCCCCAAAAGGTACAGCATCTTCGCTGAATCTGGCTTCCAAAGGTCCCGAGGATTCCCAAACCTAGAATATATGTTTGGCAACGCTTCACACTGAAAAACAAAAACATTTCCCACCTTCAGTCTCTTTTTGGGCCCTTAGCAGGTCCCATCTGGGGTGACGAGCAGTCCCTGTCTGCCCTGGACACTTCGGGTATATGCCTGTGCCCTGGTGTCCACCTGCCATAACATTTCTCCAGGACAAAAGTCATGCAGTTCCTCCCCTAGCTGTTAGCTCCCAGCGCCCAGTCGGGGCTAGTCCTAACCCTGACTTCATCCTAGTGAGGACTGGGCAAGTAAGTACACACCTCTCTGGGCCTTGGTTTCCTCACTTCTACTTGAAGCATGTAGACTGGAATAAACAGTGTTCCTCCTCTGATACTGGGGAAAAAATGCTTGAACTTAGTGGAGATCGTGGGATAAGGGCAGCCAGTCAGAGGGTTAATGAGCATGACTTGGGTGAGTGTTGTGGGCTTACCTGCCTGACACCAGCCACTGATAGATAACTAAAAAGTGTGAGGGTGGTGACAGCTGGGTCAGAATGGCGTAGCAAGATGACCTGTCCATACAACAGTTCAAATGCCTCTCAACAGTGGGCTTCACCGCAGGCCAACCACTACATAAGGCAGAGAGCCAGCTGCAGCTGGAGTCCAGGATTGGCAGGTCTCTCTTGTCCTAGGCTATTCAGGGCTGCTCAGCTTCCTCTTTCTCCATGCTCCAGAGAGGTTTAAATAGCACCGGTTCTATGGTACCTCCCCCTAGACCAATCCGGCTCTGTGCCCTTTGGGAGGAGGGGGGTGCTTTTTTTTCAAACAGTTTATTGGCATTTCCTCCACAGTCGTTAGTACATTCAAGTTTCTCACTTCAGTTGATTTTGGTAATTTATCTCCTTCATTAATCAAGTATAGAGTTGAAGATCATACTTTTTAAACTTCAGAATCTTTCATATACATTTTCTCCTTTGTAAAAGTTTTTGTGATTTGTCTTAATTTTTTCAGTGAATAGATTTATTGGAGGTTTGCTGATTTTATTGGTCTTTCAAAATATTTTTGAAGGTACTCATCATTGCTACAGATTTTTCTCTCTCATTGATTTTTCTTTCATTATTCTTACACATTCCTTCCTTCACTTTTGTTCAGAAGACTAGTGAGAGTTTGAGGGTTTTAACAATAGAAACTGACTCTAGCTAACATAAGCTGGAAAATATGTATTGGAGAAGGATGTCAGGCAGCCTGGAGATTCACAGGAGGGGTGTAGGGAACAAGGTGGAGGGGATGAGCAGGAATTAGGAATCTGAGCACTGAGATCCACAGGGTGTCCAGGAACAGCTTGATTGGGATATGCTGGCTCTGCCACTGAGCCCTGGCCATGGCTACCAGAATGAAGGCTGCCCTTTCAGGCAGTCACTCCAGCTGCATAGTAGCAAGGGCAGCATCTGATTGGTGGATTCACTCCATGGCAGATTTCCCTACTATAGGAGGAAGCTTCAGAGGTTAGGCAGCCAAATTTTATATATATATATATTATATCATATATTATATATATATAATATATACATTCTTTAATATATACCATGTTAGAGAATATATAATATATATTAGAGAATATATATAAAAATAATATATATAAGCAACAACAAATGCCCATTAAAGTGTATTTGGGTATCCTTAATCTCATGTCTTTTATTTATTTTTATAAAACTATAAATTTTCCTCCTGAGTATGGCTTTGGTTTCATACCTTGTTTTCATGAATGATATGGATCTCCTATTTTCTAAATAAAACTTGTCATTACAGTTTTGAGTTCCTCTTTGATCCAAATGTTATTCAGGATAATTTTTTAAAAAGCTTTTCTAGGCTGGGCATGGTGGCTCACGCCTATAATCCCAGCACGTTGGGAAGCCGAGGCAGGCAGATCACGAGGTCAGGAGAGCGAGACCATCCTGGCTAACACGGTGAAACCCCATCTCTACTAAAAAGTACAAAAAATTAGCCAGGCGTGGTGGCGGGCACCTGTAATCCCAGCTACTCGGGAGGCTGAGGCAGGAGAATGGCATGAACCTGGGAGGCGGAGCTTGCAGTGCGCCAAGATCGCACCACTGCACTCCAGCCTGGGCGACAGAGTGAGACTCAGTCTCAAAAATAAAAAAAATTAAAAAAATTAGCTGGTCATGGTGGTGCATGCCTGTAGTCCCAGCTACTCTGGAGGCAGAGGCAGGAGAATCACTTGAACTCAGGAGGTGGTGGTTGCAGTGAGCCAAGATGGTGCCACTGCCCTCTAGCCTGGGCGACAGAGTGAGACT
Organism: Homo sapiens; assembly: GCF_000001405.40. NCBI lineage: Eukaryota > Metazoa > Chordata > Mammalia > Primates > Hominidae > Homo > Homo sapiens. The sequence continues at coordinate 50,013 of NW_025791797.1, read as the reverse complement.
CTGTTTAAAAAAAAAAAAAAAAAAAAAAAAACCTTTTCTAGGTGGTTTGATTTTTTAAAATTTATTCTATGTTAAATTCTAGACTTGTGATACTATCGTCAAATAACATGTCTTGAAAGGTTTTTTTTAAACATAGCCTGTCATGTTTCATTGTAAACACATATCATAGAGGTTTGAAATACTGTTCATTTTGTGTTTCTAATGTACAGTTTTTTAGTTCATCTGTAACAAGAGTGTGTATTCTACACAGCTTCTAGCTCAGAGGAAGATTTCCAACTCATGCTAGCTAGAGCCCCCTTGGCCAGCTCAAGGCTTTCCCCTTCACGTCACCATCACCCTTCAATCACTAAGGGCCCACAGCTCCTCTGTTTAGGGAAGGGGGGTACAAGTGTATACAAGTGTCCTGGACTGTTTGACAGATTTGTCTACATATGGAATGAAATTGATGGGGACTGGGAAGTGTCCTGAGGCACTGACACACATCCCTCTGAACTGAAGGATTTTTGGGCATTTGGTGGTCTTCACAAGTCAATGACAAGAGGGACACTGTGGTTGTCTCTGGCACTCTGCCAGATGGCCCATGTTCTGGCAGAGGTTTCAGTGTTCTCTTAAGCTCTTTTTCTTTTTTTCTTTTCTTTTTTTTGGAGATGGAGTCTCGCTCTGTCGCCCAGGCTGGAATGAGGTGGCACAAACTTGGCTCACTGCAACCTCCACCTCCTGGGTTCAGGTGATTCTCCTGCCTCAGCCTCCCAAGTAGCTGAGACTACAGGCATGCACCACCATGCCCAGCTAATTTTTTTTTTGTATTTTAGTAGAGACGGGGTTTTCCGGAGCTGAGGCAATCAGCCCACCTCAGCTTCCCAAAGTGCTGGGATTACAGGCGTGAACCACTGCTCCTGGCCTATGCTCTTTTTCTTGTGGCCTTTGACTCACCTCCAGGCCAGCTTTTGAGTCTAATGAGTATTTGCATTCCTTGTGTCTGGTTCTGTAGCAAGTGACTCATATCTATCTGGGGGGCATTGTTGGGGGGCAGAAGAATTCTGGGTAGGGGTTAGAAGGGGAGGGAAGCATGCTTATTAATGTTCAAAATATCCCATCATATATCTCATAAATCAGGTATGAGCATGTTCAAATGCTCTGTGTTCCAATATTTTTCTTTTTTTTTTTTTTTTTTTTTTTTTGAGATGGAGTCTCGCTCTTTCGCCCAGGCTGGAGTGCAGTTGCGCTATCTCGGTTCACTGCAAGCTCTGCCTCCTGGGTTCACACCATTCTCCTGCCTCAGCCTCCCGAGTAGCTGGGACTACAGGCGCCCGCCACCGTGCCCAGCTAATTTTTTGTATTTTTAGTAGAGACGGAGTTTCACCATGTTAGCCAGGATGGTCTCGATCTCCTGACCTCGTGATCCGCCCGCCTCGGCCTCCCAAAGTGCTGGGATTACATATTTTTCTACTTTATTCGTCAAAGAGAGGTACTATATTCTACTCTACAATCTCTTGCTACAATTGTGATTATGTCTGTTGCGTCTTATATTTGGGACTTTTGTTCTAAACATTTCAGTGCTATGGTATTCTGTTTATAGGTATTTATTATTGTCATATCTTCCTTGTCGATTTTTTCTTTTATCTGTAGAAAAAAACATATTTTGTCCTACTTACAGCTTTTTGCCTTCTATTTTACTTTGCCACATACCCATATTTGTATCCTTACTTTTTGTGTATATGTGCTTCTTATGTCTTAATTGGTCTTTTGGCCTTTCATTTTGTTGTAGACACGTGCTGCTATAAACAGAGTAAAATTTAATTTTGTTTCTGGACCAAAATATGTCTTTGCCGTTTCCTAGAGAGATTTAAGCATTTATATTTATTACAAAAAGAAAAATTGTCATTGTGTGGTATGTTATTATTTTTCTTCTACATAGTTCCTTTTTGGGTTTTTTTTGGGTTTTTGTTGTTGTTGTTGTTGTTGTTGTGTTGTTGTTTTGAGACAGGGTCTTGCTCTGTTACCCAGGCTCTGGAGTGCAATAGCACAATCATGGCTCACTGAAGTCACAACCTGGGCTCACGTGATCCTCCCACCTCTCCCTCCCAGGTAGCTGGGACCACAGGCACATGCCACCACACCAAGCTGATTTTTTTTTTTTTTTTTGTACAATGGGGTCTCACTATGTTGCCCAGGCTGGTCTCAAACTCCTGGGCCCGAGTGATTCTCCTGCCTTGGCCTCCCAAAATGTTGGGATTATAGGCATAAGCCATCATGCCCAGCCATAGTTCTTTCTTCTATCATTATTATCTATCTATTACTCAGATTTTCTTTGCTTTTTCTTCCTCTTTGCTTTTGGAAATTATTCATCTAATTTTTACTCAATGAGTGATTACCACTGACCTAAAATATATTTGAATTTATATTCTCTATCAGCATCAATAATTAAACACTTTATGGAAGCCACGGCATGACTAGAATGAGCCATGGTCAGAGCACATCCACTAGGGCCACCTCATCACCTCCTTCTACTCAGACCACCTCCTGCTCCATATGAGAACCCTCAGGCAGAGACCAGAATGGGCCCAGTACCTTTTTTCTGAAACAGCAAATGAACCAGGGGGAGACTAGGGTGCAGAGTGTTGGTTTTAAGACACGGGGGCAAAGATGGAGTGACGAGAATTTAAAAACAAGTTTTGAGATAAAAGAATTGTGAAACTGTTTGAAATTCAAAATATTTTCATAAGTATATATTTTCTATTATACAATAACATTTAGAGGAAATTTGGAAATCATCAAAAAATAAAAGGATGGAAAAACTACCTTTGGAATCATATTTGAAACAATCACTCTTAATATTTTGGTATATTTTTCTTGTAGAGTATTTTTCCTGTAAAATTTAAGCATAACAGTGACATGACTATGCATACTGTATTTTCTTTGTTCTCTTAGTTAACTGAGCATTTCCTATATTGTCTAGTCTTCACACACAACATTTTAATGACAACTTAAACCATTGTAGATATATCAAATTATATTTGATTATTTTCCATTAATACACATGTAAAGGTTCCCACCCCCCATATTTTTCCTGATTTAAATAATGCCACATTAAACATCTTTTTCCATATTAAAGTTTTCTTTCTATATTTAGGAATGGACTTTCCTTAGGATGGACTCCACTCTGAGATGTAAAATTAGTGCATCAAAGAATTTGAACAATTCTAAATACTATATATATGTATGTAAAATGCAGTTTTCATTGCTCCCATGATACACAGTCATTAGAGAAGCATCTTGTAAAAAAAAAAAAAAAAAAAAAAAAAAGGCGGGAGGAGGAGAAACGAGGCAAAGAAACATGGATATGGGATTTGTGTCTTCCACTTGCCTTGAATTGAATTTAATGTCATTAAAAAATTCACTGGCCAGGCGCAATGGCTCACACCTGTAATCCCAGTGCACTTTGGGAAGCCAATGCGGGTGGATCACTTGAGGCCACGAGTTGGAGACTAGCCTGGGCAACAGGGCAAAACCCCGTCTCTACCAAAAATACAAAAAATTAGCCGGGCGTGGTGGTGCACACCTGTAGTCCCAGCTACTCAGAGGCTGAGGTGGGAGAATCACTTGAACCTGGGAGGTGGAGTTTGCAGTGAGCTGAGATTGCACTACTGCACTCCAGCCTGGGCAACAGAGTGAGACCTGTCTCAAAAAAAAAAAAACACAAAAAACAAACAAAAACAACAACAACAACTCATCAACCTGTAGCCTAATACACGCTCCAGATTGCAGTGCCTGGCAGACCTCGGAGAGCCAAGTTCAAATACTGATGCCTTCTATTAACCTTAAAATGTTAGCTTAACCATGACCTCTCTACGTCTAGCTTTCTCTCTCTCTTTTTTTCCTGAAAAAAAAAAATCTCTTACCCAAACTTTCTTCTTAGGAGGCCTCCTGGGTTACTTGTGCATGAAAGGGTGGGGCTTTGGCCCACTAACTGCATAGCAGTTGTGCAGTGTGCCAAGTATTTAGATAAACCAGATCTAGAAGCATTATTTCTCTCAGTTGAATTCCCTCACATACCTGGCTGCAGCAGAAAGCTGAAAGCACAGATACTGTTTTTGCTTTCCTTGTAACTTCATAGGTGTTTTTTTGTTTTTTTTTTCCACATCTGGGAAAGATGTGTGCCCACCGATGAGGTAACAGCAGACATGATGAATCCCAGATGTTGAACATGGCAATTTGCCTTGAACTCACAAGATCACAACTGGGAACAAACGTACAGATTTTCTTTGCTTATTGTTTTACAAGAAGCTGAGGGAAAATCAATTGACAGTTAAGAAAAGGCCAGAAAGACTTTTCATTTTAAAATGTAGAGGAAAAATCTGAAGTATTTTTATTTGTTTAAAAATGAGGATGGGGCCGGGCATAGCGGCTCCCGCCTGTAGTCCCAACACTTTGGGAGGCCGAGGCAGGCCACTTGAGGCCAGGAGTTCGAGACCACCCTGGCCAAATAGAGAAACGCTGTCTCTACTAAAAAATATAATTACTTGGATGAGGCCGGGCGCGGTGGCTCACGCCTGCAACCCAGCACTTTGGGAGGCCGAGGCAGGCGATTCACGAGGTCAGGAGATTGAGACCATCCTGGCTAACAAGGTGAAACCCCGTCTCTACTAAAAATACAAAAATTAGCCAGGAGTGTTGGCGAACGCCTGTAGTCCCAGCTACTTGGGAGGCTGAGGTGTGAACCCTCAGCCTTGAGGAGAATGGCGTGAACCTGGGAGGCGGAGCTTGCAGTGAGCCGAGATCGCGCCACTGCACTCCAGCCTGGGCGACAGAGCGAGACTCCGTCTCAAAAAAAAACACACACACACACAATTAGTTGGGTGTGTGGGTGTGGTGGCACTTGCCTGTAAACCTAGCTTCTTGGGAGGCTGAGGCACGAGAATCACTTGAACCCAGGGCAGAGGTTGCAGTGAGCCGAGATGGCACCACTGCACTCCAGCCTGGGTGACAGAGCGAGACTCTGTCTCAAAAAAAAAAAAAAAAAAAAAAGGATGGGGTAAAGAGCACACTGCACAACTGCTATGCATCTCAATAGTAAAGGCAAAAGGGAATTAATGCATGTCATAGTTATCTACAATGCTTGACTCTGCTTTTCCGGAACCTATCAACAAACATTCAGTTAGAATTCTGGGCCATGCTGTAATTCCAATTAGCCTTTGTTAATTACATAGGTGCCATTTTACATTTCCATATTTTACCCTGGAGGATTTATTTTTCACTTCTACTAAAGAGATGCATAAAAGTTTGTGTTGGGGATGAGGAATTAGCCGAGCGACGCAGATGGCGTTCATAAACCCCTGCTGCCACCTTGTGGTGGTGTTGAGAAGCGACAGAGGTAAGCCTTTCTGAACTGTGAGTCTATAGTGGTTAGTTTCATGTCGTTTACTTCTAACTTTTAAAAAAGCACACTAGCATCTTGAGTCTTGACACAACAGCTCATTTTAATGGTGTGGCATGCAAAAATGTTGCCACAGAAATTTTCAGTTCTTACTGGAAGAATCTCAAGAAGAGCTGTCCCATCCCTATGGCATCAGCCATATAGGTAGAAGAACACATAGAAAATGGTATCATGCTACCAGAGGAGGAATTCGGAGAAAAAGGAAGTGACCACTAGAGTCAATGGTTACAATAGCAGTCCCCGGCTGGGCGAAGTGGCTCACACCTGTAATCCCAGCACTTTGGGAGGCCAAGGCAGGAGGATCACTTGAGCCCGGGAGTTCAAGGCAGGAGTGAGCTATGATTGCACTCCAGCCTGGGCAACGGAGAGAGACTCTGTCTCTAAAAATCAACAAAAACAACAAAAAGCACACAATGCCATCATTTTCTATCTATTCCCTCTACTCACTTTATTCCCTTCCATGGCACTTTATCTACCTGATATTTTAGTATATATGTATATATATACACATACATATATATGTTTTAGATTGTCATTTATCTCCCACTACCAGAGTGAGTGAAAGCACTATTAAGCAGCACTGCCCAGTTGAACTTTCTATGATGATGGACATGTTCTCTATCTGTGCTGTCCAATATTGGCAACCACTACCCAACTGTGGCTATCAATCACTGAAAAGTTGACAATGGATGCTTTCATTTTGAATTTAATTTTAATTAATTAAAATTAAATAGCCACACGTGGCTAGTGCTACTGTGTTGGACAACGCAGCTTTAGAAGGGCAAGAGAATTAATCTGCTTTATTTACTGCAACCTCCCAATACCAGAGAATAGCTGGAGTCCTAGAGCGGCTCAAAAAACATAAATATTCAGTTAATGAATAAATAAATAACCATGAATAGAGCAGACAAGCACCTAAAATAATGTATCAGATTTAACATGAAGTTGGGGGTGATGATTAAAGAGGAGTGGTGGTAAAAGTAGGTGGTGTTAAGGGCCAAGAAAATGTGAGAGGTCATTGTCATGTTGTGCATTCAGGGGGAAGTGAGCAGTGGTCCTGCTAGTACTGACCTCCAAGGAACGGTGTGTTTTCTCTGCAGCCAGAGGTTGCACTAACAGCTGGGAATCCTGCCGTGATGGTCAGCAGCGGAGGGAGCACAGGAAATAGGGTCTTCTCGTGGGGACATCTGGCCAGGTGTCCACAGCAGCTGTCACAAAAGATAGGAAGTTCCCATCTAATGTGGCCTTGTCCCTGATCTTGTGGGAGCCCTGGCCCCTTAAGAGCACTATGAGATTGATAACAATGTCCTCACAGGTGTTGTAGGACCTAAGGAAGCGCCGTTAAATGCACGAGACGTTTAATTAGTAGCATTATTACCTATGGCTTGATCCTTTCCTGGTCACTGGTCAGGGTTACATAGAAATCTCTGGCCTTCATTGGCCATGGGAGATTGTTGCCCTAGATCCCACCGGTCTAAGCTTGCTTAAACTCCTCTACCTGTCTACTCCAGTCACCAACTGGTACTAATGCTTTAACTGTGCCCATTGTCCCCATTCCCCTTTGAGAAAAAATGTCAAATTCTTTTTACAAAATATGCTAAATGAATGCATTGAAGACACCAGTCATCAAGACTCAGAGGCAATAGTTACAGAATTGTATTTTACTAAATTATTCTAAGAAAATCCAGAAAGAATGACACATTTAATTTTAAGGCCAAAATGCTTGCTGGGCCACTAAAAAGTGTGCTTTTTCTACCCATTTTTCTATGAGTCATAGAAAAAAAATAAATCCCCAGATTGACTTTATATTTCTCTTTTCAGTTGTCCTTGTGAAAAGAAATTGTGGTTCCCTTTTAGTGTAAGATGCTGCTGCATTTGCAAATGTAGCAGCAATGTACTTAGCATCTGGTATTTCAGGAATCTCCCCCTTGTGTTATGTGTGCCTCTAATCATACAAGAAAAGTTTAGACAGTGTCTATCCCTGAGTTGATTTGTATTTTAGTTAGTCTATTACTGTTAGGATTACGGTCTATAGGGGGCAGTGAGGGACCTGAAAGTAAAACAGCGGAGCTTTAAAATGCACACTGTCCAGGGTGATTCCATCGCTCTCTAAAGCAGTGCTTTACAATCTTTAATGTGCACGTGGATCCCCTGGGGCACCGGTTAGAATGCAGGTTCTGTTTCCCTGGGTCTGCACGAGGGCCCAAGGCCTGAGCCTCTGCATTTCTACCAAGCTCCAAGGTGATGACAGTGTTGCTGGTCTGGGACCACAGTTAGTAGCAAGGCTGTAGGTGACAAGTCCCCATCAGTCTCACAGAGACCCAGGATGCAGTTTTTCTACTTAACACACCTTCGTTACATGAATAGTGAACATGCACAGCCAACAGCTCCTGAGTTCGATAAATTGACTGGATGGAAAATAGCTGAGTACCAGCTATGTCTTTCCCTTGGCCATGGGGATGGCATTTTTTCTCTTCTGGGTTAGCATCTCTGCTGGTAAACTTTAGAGGCTGATATCATCATCACTTTGGCCCTGGTGGGTATAAAGTTCTGAGCCTGATTTTGCCAGATTTTGTCCAAGGAATAGAATATGCCCCAACCCATGAAGCACAGAACTAGTGGCCTGCAGCCACCTTCCACAGCCCAGGCCATAGGAGGCCCCTGGATATGCGAGGGGAAAGAATTCACAGTGTGCACAGAACGTGCCAGGCCCACGGTGCACTCTCATGGCCACTCTTTGAGATATGCGTGACCAAGTCAGGGATGAGGAGACAGAGCTCGGAAAGATGAAGTGTTACGCAACAAAATGTGATTGACTCGCCTCACAGGCTGTGGCTACAGAAGCCCGCACATTGGCCTGGAGAGAACCAGGACCTGGGTGCACTTGACTATTCCTTGCTCTAAAGCACACTAGGTTTCATTCATTGCTTCATTTATTTGACACACATTTATTAAGCACCTAAGAGTGTCTGGCCTTGTGCTGGGAGCCAAGTCAGTAGAGATGAAGGTTTTTATTCTATAGAAGCTCACATTTGAAACACATGGGCAGCTTTCCATAAAGTGTCCCATGTGGTCTTAGGAAAAGCAGGAGTCTAGAGAAGTGGCTGGAGTCTAGTGAGTCCCTGCCTCTGACTCCTTCAAGTGCTTTTCCCTGACCAGAGAAATGCAAGACTATTCATTTAGTATTACATGGTGTGTATTTGGAGACTGGATTACTTTGTGCCTTAATGTGATCTTTATTTCACTGTAGTGACGGATGGCTTTATTCTCCTCACTACCAGACCCTGAGCTGGAAAATTTGGCTTAGTAAGCCTGTGTTAGACTCACTGGCACTGTTCCATCCTTGTGGCTTTGCCTGACTCCTGACCCTTTCCTGCCCACTCCCTCTGGGGAAGGAGAGCCAGTGCAGCTGAAGTGATGGAGGACTTTCAGGGTGCCGACGCACACACTCCGCACCCAGCCTCCTCGTGCTCTGCCAGCTCATTTTGGTCAAGCTTCTGGAAGACAAAGTTTACCTTGCCCGCTTCTGTACACACACACCCCCCCCCCCCGCCCACGAAACTAGTACAGAACCTGACAAACTGCCCACACACAAAACAATTTTTGAGAAGCCACTGAATGACTTAAAAATCTTACCCATGGGTTTGCAGAGCAGGAAGGGACTGACTTCAAAGTTCATTTCGTTTTGGGCAAAACTGATGTAAGCTGTTAGAAATCAGGATACTGTTTACCCTTAGGAGAGGCAGTCCTGACAGGAACGGGTCACGATGAAGCCATGGGTGCCGCTAATATTTGAATTCTCAGTCTGTGTGCACACGAGGGTTAATTCTGTGAGTCCATTGAGTCCTAGTCTTAAAATATGTGCACTTTTCTATATGCATGAAGAAACTACATTAAGTTCATAGCTTTTGACTACATCTAGCAGAAAGTTTTAAAAGAGGAATTAAATAATAATGCTTAAATCAATGACAATGCACAAATGCCCTGAATTTTCTCCTTTGCAGGTCCATCACTTCTGTTTAAAAACAAAACAAATCACCAATCACCTAATCCTGGCCACCCCCGTGCAATACATTTAAGGCTCAAAACTTCAAAAACAACCCGTCCTCTCCTGTTTTCCATTCTGCTTTTGCCCTTCCCCCGACTGACACTTGTGGGATGACCTCACCTGATTTCTATATAGAAAATTGTGTCCAGCTGGTGTTAGTTCCCTCCAGCCCCCTCATCTCCACTTGAATGTGATCCTGGGAACCTGCGTTTTCCTCTCATACTTCCTTCTGATTGTGGGGAAAAGGACCCCCATCTCCTCTTCTCTCTGCAGCTCACTTCCAGGAAAGTGTGGCCCTCACACATCCCCCCAGGAGGGGAGCATGCCCGCCCTAAGGTAGCAAATGCTGGATGTTCCAGACCTGGCCCCAACTCATTTTCCAAGTTCTTCAGTTTCAGGAAAATAATTTGAGACTCTTCTCTACCTTTGAAGGACATTGGTAGGGTTGTCTCCTGGGATTTGTGAGTTTATCTTTTATACAATCTTGACCCTTTGATTTCTGTCTTACATTTTCTTGATTTCCCAATATGGGGTCTAATTTTAAGTGGTTCTGGAAGTTTGGATGTTCAGGCTCTTGCAAATAATTTGGTTGAATGGACTGAAACACTCGAGTTTCCCTGAATACCTGAAATTTCTTAACTCTCTAAACTGGGTACTTTGGCTATGCAGTCTCAGAGTCCAAGGTCCAGCTCTTGTTTTTCTGTTCTTCACAAGACCCAGATAAAGTGTGTAGGAGAGAAGTACCAGGTGCCACCCAATCTCGGTCCCGACTTGCTGGAGGGCCCTGAAGAAGCTGTTTGCATAAAAGCCAAAGCATCGATTCCCTTAACGACACATTTTTCTAAAATTTACAGTTGTATGATCTATTCTAGTTCACATGTGACATGAGATTCCCACAGGCATTTAACCTAGGGAGTGAAGTCTAAGTGTGCTTCCTTGAGTAGGCATCTTGTTCAGGGCACAACCCACGCTTTTGGAGATTTGGGGTAAGTTTTGATGTCTTTCTGATTCCTCTACTTTTGATCATATTAGTAACTATTTTTTAGCCAATCCTTCTAAGGGTACTTCAACTTTATTTTCATGTCTCTAGTACATATTTAACAAATTCCTAGAATTTATATCCAATATATCAGATGTATCTCTTTGAAGTGTCTTATTTCCACTTTGCTGCCTAAAAATTGATTTTATAGAACTTGGTGCACCATAGGAAACTATTAAGCAAATCGTGGCATACAGAGGGTTTATACCAAATTAATGAGGCCGCCCAGATAGAATGAAAAAAGGCAAGAGCTATAACATAACTTCATTCAGCTCCTTTGCACTTTTATTTATTTATTTGTGTACCTTTAAAAACAAAGAATTAGGGATCATAAAATTCTAATTGATACATCCAACATTATTTGCTTAAATTTAAAAAATATTTTTGTAATTTTTTTCCCTCCTCCATTTTCTTCCTAGAGCCCACCCCCTCCAGGCTAAGATAATTGAACAAGATGCTCATAATATTACCCAAGTCTTAGAAGAAGACAGACACTCCTCAGGATAATAAAACACAGGAGATATGCCAACAGCACAAGATATCTGATATATTTTAGGTAATCCACCTGGAGACCAGATGACCATAATGGCCTTTTTCCATCCCACCAGCCGGATCTGAGGCTCCCTTTACCCTGTCTCCAGCAACGGGTCTGGACAAAACAGGAAAACCCACTCCAAAGGGCTAATCCACAGACTGACAATGCATAGCCAGGGCCAGGGCCCAGGAAAAAGATGAGGGGTAAAAGGGCTGACAGCAAGAGATGGGACGGAAGAGATCCAAGGGCATCTCCTTCTGCTTCTGCACTGACAGAGTCATTATGGACTGCGAGTACATGTGGAAGAGATACTGAGAAGACAGAGAAATATGATTGACTATAAAGGGTGCCCCCAAGCTTGGAATAAGGCCTACTACTCAGAAATGGTACATGGGGATGAGCTGAGTAGACTATTCCTTAACCACTCCTTTTACTCCGAATACAATCATGACAAAACAACATTTTGGTTAATAACGGGCCACATATGCAATAGTGGTCCCATAAGATTTTAATACTGTTTTTGTTTCTTTGCTGCTTGTTTGTTTTTAGAGACAAGATCTCACTCTGTTACTCAGGCTGGAATGCAGTGATGCGATCATAGCTCGCTGCAGCCTCCAACTCCTGGGCTACAGCTATCTGCCCACCTTACCTCTCAATAAGTAGCTAGGATTACAGGTGCAAGCCACCATACTCAGCTAATTTTTAAAAATATTTTTGCAGAGATGGAGTTTCACTATGTTTCCCAGGCTGGTCTCAAATTCCTGGCCTCAAAAGATCCTCCTGCCTTGCCTCCCAAAGCACTGGGATTATAGGTATAAGTCACTGCACCAAGGCCTAATACTGTATTTTTAGTGTACCTTATTTATGTTTAGATACACGAATACTTACCATTATGTTATAATTGCCTACAATATTCAATACAGTAGCATACTGTACAGGTCTGTAGCCTAGGAACAATAGGCCACACTATATAGGCTAGGTGTATAGTAGACTAGACCATTTAGGTTTGTGCATGTATACCCTATGAAGTTTGCATGATGATGAAATCACCTCATGATGCATTTCTCAGAACCTATCCCCATTGTTAATTAAGCATGACTTTAGACCGATTCTATCACTTGAACAATGAAGTTAAGAATTGATTGAAGGAAGTTTTCACTTAACCAAGGCAGATGGAACACACATGTTTACCTCCACCTCTTCCCAAAACCTCATAGAAGGACACTAAAGGAATAAGAAGGAGAATGACAGACTACAGATGTCAATCAAATTTGTGAATATGTAAAGCAGTTGTATGAATGGTACAGACTTAGCTGTGAAAGCAGAAATCTGACTGCCTGCAGGGGAAGAGAAACTGGTAAAAAGAAACTGACTCCCAGCCCAGAAGCCTGGGAAGTTTCAGGAATTGAGATAAAAGCACTTGCAAAGGGAGAGGACAGGATGGGTTAAGCAGTGCGAGTGAGTTCCTAAAAGCAGAACTCACTCCAGGAGGGCTGTCTGTAAGGGAAAACCAGGAAACTCGGATGTTACTTGAGTGTGTGTGACAGCATCAGAAATGTGTAAGAGTTATTTCAGAATGTTTGGGGCTGAATCAGTGATAATTAATGTCTATAAAACTCAGGAAATAAAAAGTAAGACAATTATTTAAAATGGTATAAGTTAAGTAAAATCATAATACATGCTCTAGCTATGAATAGTATTTTCATAGTCACAATGACAATACAAAATCTTCACTTGACAAAAAAATGTGATATAGGTTGGGAGCAGTAGCTCATGCCTGTAATCCCAGCACTTTGGGAGGCCAAGGTGGGCAGATCACCTGAGGTCAGAAGTTCCAGACCAGCCTGGCCAACATGGTGAAACCCCATCTCTACTAAAAACACAAAAAGTGAGCCAGGCGTGGTGGCAGGCACCTGTAGTCCTAGCTACTTGGGAGGTTGAGGCAGGAGAATCACTTGAACTCAGGAGGTGTAGGTTGCAGTGAGCTGAGATAGTACCACTGCATTCCAGCGTGGGCGACAGAGTGAGACTCCGTCTCAAAAAAAAAGTGATAACTACACTGGGAGGACGGGGAGAGGGAATGTATGGTGGTTTAGAAAGTATAATAGAATTTCAGTCATAAAGTCGATAGATGATTTCTAAAATTTCAAAAATCATAAGCAGTAGTATAAACATGTTGTGTAGAAATATCAAGATTTTAAAAAGAGAGACAGAAGAAAAACTTAGAAGAGTTTTAAGGATTTCTTCTGAGTGGTGAAGATGGGAAGCAGAAACTGAGGTTCCAGGAGACTACAGTAGAGGACTGCCTACTTTCCTATAAGTCACTCAGTATCATTTGTCTTTTAAAATTATGCACATATATTGCTTTGGTCAGAATTAAATTACTTTTTAAAAAGGAATTTGTTAGGCTTTTTTTTTAATTAAGTGTGTGTGCACATGCGTGTGTGCTTTTGGTTGAGAAAGAATTAGACCACAACTTTACTGCTCCTAATCACCAGCAGATGTGTGGGGTTCTTCATGGTATAAGGGGGGGGTGGGATTGGAAGAGACCACAACATGTGACCAGCCTAGCAGCGGACCAGTAAGACTGATTTGGTCTGCCGGCTACTCCTTCCTTTCCTCTAACTTAAAGTGCATAGCTGCCTAGAATTAGAGAGCTGTGATGCAGGGTCTAGCTATATTTGTTTGAATTCCACTGAACTGAGCCAAGAGGTACCTGCTTTGGAAGCTAAACAGATTGGTTCTCGGGGATGAAAATAGCCCCAAGACATGTTGCATGGAGGGAGAAAAGACTATTTAGAGATAGCAGTGGTATCTGTGCTAGAGCTACTGAAAGTGCACCTGGTTTGAGAATAGACGTGTCAATTGAGGACTGGGATCACACCTTATTTTGCAACATGGAAGATGCTTCCCACACAGGCCTCCCAGAACACATGCAAGAGGAAGTAGCCCATAGAAACTAGTGGGTACAACTTCATTGTAGGGTGCAATTCTTTTTTGAAAGTTGAGTCAACTTTTAGAAGGATGGCAAATCTATAAACAAAATTGAGCTGGCCTTCCACATTTGCTGGTGTAGTGACTAAGTGGGCTTCTTGGGTGCTTAACTAGTGTTTACACAGTATTTTGTTCATCCTTAATTTTAACCCATATATATATCCTTGTTTTAAAGTGAGTTTCTTATAGATAACATATAATTGGTTCTTCCTTTTTAAAATTCAATCTGACAATATCTTTTAGTTGGAGCGCTTAGACCATTTACATTTAATTTAATCATTAATAAGGTTGGGTTTAAATCTACCATCTTTCTATTTGTTTTCTATTTTTCCCATTTGTTCTTCATTCCCTTTTTCCTCTTTTTCCATCTTCATTTGTGTTAATTATTACTTTTTAGGATTCCATTTCATTTCAACAATTGGCTTATCAACTATAGCTTTTTGTTGTGTTTTGTTTTAGTAGCTGCTTTAGGTTTATAATATTCATCTTTAACAACATCACAGTCTACCTACAAATAATATTCTACCACTTCATATATTATGTATGAAACTTACAACAGTGAACTTATATTTTTCCCTCCCATCCTTCGTGTTCTTCTTTTCTTACTTTTTATGTCTACATATATCATAAACTCCATAATATACTTTATTTTATTTGTTTTAAACAGTCAATTGTATTCAAAATAATTTTTTTAATGAAAAAAGTGTATCTTTTTTTTTTTTTTTTTTTTTTGAGATGGAGTCTCACTCTGTCACCCAGGCTGGAGTGCAGTAGCATGATCTTGGCTCACTTTAAGCTCTGCCTCCCAGATTCACACCATTCTCCTGCCTCAGCCTCCCGAGTAGCTGGGACTACAGGCACCCACCCCCACGCCTGGCTAATTTTTTGTATTTTCAGTAGAAATGGAGTTTCACCATGTTAGCCAGGATGGTCTTGATCTCCTGACCTCGTGATCCACCCACCTCGGCTTCCCAAAGTGCTGGGATTACAGGGGTGAGCCACTGCACCCAGCTGTGTATCTTATATTTACCCATGTTTACCATTTCCAGTGCTCTTTTTTTCTTTTTCTTTTGTCCAAGTCTCGATTTCCATCTGGTGTCATTTTCCTTCTGTCTAAAAAAATTGCTGTTATATCTTTTGTGGTGCAGGTCTACTGGCAATGAATTATCTCAGCTTTTTTGTGTGGGAAAAAATTTTATTACACACTTATTTTTGAAAGATATCTTCAGTGGATATAAAATTCTAGGTTGACAGATTTATTTCAGCACTTGAAACAAGCCATTCCATTTTCTTCTGGCTTGCGTATTTTATAACCAATAGTCTACAATTTTCCTTCTCCCAGCTTTGTTCCCTTGTTTGTAGTGTTCCTTTAATTTCTGGGGGTCTTTTGAATTTTTTTAATCCCTCATTTTCAGCAATTTTACTCTGATGTTCCTTACTGTAGTTTTCTTTGTCCTTTTTGGGGTTTGCTGAGTGTATTAGGTCAACAATATACCATAGATTGGTGGCTTAAACAAAAGACATGCATTTCTCCCTGTTCTAGAGGCTGGGAAGTTCAAGACCCAAGCTGCTGGTAGATTTGGTTCCTGGTGAGGGCCCTCTCCCTCATTTGCGGATAGCTAACTTATTGCTGTGTTTTCACCTTGAAGATAGAGAGACAGAGAGAGAGAATGAAAGAGAGGCTGCACATGAGAGAAAGCAAGCCCACTCTGGTCTCTCTCTTCTTATAAGGACACTAACCCCATCATGGGGGGCCCACCCTCATGAACTCACCTAAACCTAATTATCTCCCAAAGGCCTCCACCTCCAAATGCCATCACATTAGGGGTTAGGGCTTCAGTACATTCACATTCACATTCACACAGAACACATTCAGTACATAACACAAAACCTCTTGGATGTGTATGTTTACATTTTTAAATAAATTTGGAAAACTTGGGACATTATTGCTTCAAATATTTTTTATTCCCTCTCCCTTTCTGCAACTCCTGTTACACAATTCTCACAGGCTTTTTCTTAATGCGGTTCTGTCTGCCTTCTAGCTAGAGTGATTTTTTTCTTAGAATCATCTACTGAGTTTTCTGCACTATTTTTTTTCAATATTGTGGTAAGTTTTCCTTCCGCTTTTTTTTTTTTTTTTTTTTTTTAGATTGAGTCCCACTCTGTCACCCAGGCAGAGTGCAATGGCGCAATCTCAGCTCACTGCAACCTCTGACTCCCAGGTTCAAGCGATTCTCCTGCCTCAGCCTCCCAAGTAGCGGGGATTACAGGAGTGTGCCAACACACTTGACTAATTTTTTTGTATTTTTAGTAGAGACAGGGTTTCACCATGTTGGCCAGGGTGGTCTCGAACTCCTGACCTAAGGTAATCCACCCACTTTGGTCTCCCAAAGTGCTGGGAGTGCAGATGTGAGCCACTGCACCCGGCCTTTTCAAAATATTTTAATGAGAAGCCAGTAGAGACTGCACTGGGAATTGCTGACCAAACATTAATTTTGAACCAGAAGTTACCATCTTGCAGCCAGGCACAGTGGCTCACGCTTATAATCCCAGCACTTTGGGAGGCCAAGGCAGGCAGGTTATTTGAGGTCAGGAGTTTGAGACCAGCCTGGCCAACATGGCGAAACCCCGTCTCTACCAAACAATAGAAAAATTAGCTGGGCATGGTGGCACACGCCTGTAGTCCCAGCTACTCCGAGGCTGAGGCAGAATTGGTTAAATCTGAGAGGCGGAAGTTGCAGTGAGCCGAGATTGTGCCACTACACTCCAGCCTGGGTGACAGAGTGAGACTCCTTCTCAAAAAAAAGTTACTGTCTGCATTTTTTATTATTTTTAAAATTTCTATCTTCTGTCCAACAATTATTCAATGCATGGACTTCTATAATTTACTTCTTCATTGCAATTACACCATTTACTTATGTAAAAATATGTTCTTTGTTCCATTACAATTTTTTTTTTTTTGAGACGGAGTCTCGCTCTGTCACCCAGGCTGGAATGCAGTGGCGCAATCTAGGCTCACTGCAACCTCCACCTCCTGGGTTCATGCCATTCTCCTGCCTCAGCCTCCCGAGTAGCTGGGACTACAGGCGTGTGCCACCACACCCAGCTAATTTTTTGTATTTTTAGTAGAGACGAGGTTTCGCTGTGTTAGCCAGGATGGTCTCAATCTCCTGACCTCATGATTTGCCCACCTCAGCCTCCCAAAGTGCTGGGATTACAGGCGTCAGCCACCGTGCCCAGACTAATTTTATCATCTTGTTCTCTGCTTTTTACCTGCTAAGCTTCTTTATTGCTTCTTGAAATGCTCATTTCCCTCGAGTTCCATGTTTTTCTTCCTTCTCTGCTTGCTCCTTCTTAGTCTCATTCACAAGCTCCTCTTTCTCTATCCATTCCTAAAATATTGGGATTTCTCAGCATGCTTCCTTGGCTCTTTTCACTCTATATTCTTATTATTTGGAAACATCTCGTCTATTTCTTGGACCTTAATTATTATATATATACTGTTCACTCCAAAATCTATATGTCTGGTTGTGATAATAGGAAACTTACTTAAATCTCTTGTTCTCTGTTTCTTTGTCTGTAAATTGGAGGTACTATCTCATGGGGACATAGTAAGAATTAAGAGAATTAACAAAATATTCAAATTCATACCTAGCTCTTAATAAGTACTACATGAGCGTTAGGCATGATTAATATTGTTGTTGTTGTCATAGCTCTGAGCGATCTCCTGAGCTATAATTTACATGTGCGAGAGAGCTGTATATCACTAATTGGATGTTTCATAAGCATCTCAAACCCAACATGTCTGTTAATGACCTCATCATCTTCTCTCCCAAACGTGATTCTACTTCAGTAAATGTCACTGTCTGGCTGCCCAAACCAGAAACATGGTTTTCGCCATGACTGCCACAAATAAAAAGCCATAACTACAGTGAGTCTGCCCTACTTTGTACACTTTCCTGTGTGTGCACACATGTACATATGCACACATATGTGTAAATGTGTATGAACAGTAGGCAACTTTTCATACATATAAATTGAGTGAGGGGCCTCAGGTGGTGGAAATTATATTAGAAAGTTGGAAAGAGGCATGTTCAGGAAATGGGAAGTCGTTTAGAGGGAGAGAGCTGAGTAGAAAGTTCAGGATCAGGTTGAGGGGATTATAATTCCGGTAGGAGGAGGGGACTGTGATCCTTTAACCTGGTCCAATCTTGGTCACTTGTTATGCTAATATAGTTGCATCTACTGTAGCCTCATTTGGGTGAGTCTGGCAGTGCCAGCTGTTTAGTAGGTACTGCTTGGAGACAGGATTTGATCCATGGAAAAGGAATCAATAAAGTAAAAAAAAAAAAAAAAAAGTGGGATTAAGCACCTAAGTGAGGAGACAAACATCCAGATGACCTTCAAAATACTGTTGGAAGAAGCTCTCTGACTAAAATCTGCAAGGCTGGACCAGCCACCTATGTGGGAGGTTGTGTGGACTGTGTCTCTAGACTGAGAGCTCGCAGTGCTGTGAGCAGATGACTATGGGAGAGGGTACTGGCCCTCGTGCTTCTGAGGGCCCAAGACTGTGATGTCCCATATGAAGAGTGAATGAAGGCCAGACACTAGTTTAATGCTCCCATTCAGATGTGTAACTGTTCTCAGTAGACTCAGAGAAAATGGTAAGGACACTAAAATTTTAGAATGGAATAGAAAAATCTGACACCTAGAAACATTAATTTTCTGAGTTGGCGCTGTTCTTTCCCTACGCTATGTCCATTTATTTCTTGTCTCAGTAATTTGTCAAGACCTGCTTGTCCCATTCCAAGTGATTTCTGTCATCCCGCTAAGAGTTTAGTCATATAGGACTGCATTTGGGCAACGGCACAGTCAATTGCTTTTCTATTAAGGATGTGAGCATCCTTGCTTACATGTGCACACACGAACACGCCAAAAATACCAAACTCATTAAGCCCAATTAGCACGGTCCCTAAGGCGCACACACATGGTCACCTTACAGGTTTGGATGGATCATCCATTTTCCCCCATGAGTTTTCCTGCCTCCCTGCTCTACCTCTCATAACAGTCGCTGTGGCCTGTTCATTTCCCAGTGTGCCTTACAGGAAACTTTGACCTGCACAGTCTCAGAAAATTTTGTTGTCCATAGTGTGCTGCCTCTTCCTGAAGAAGGCAGCAATGTCCCAGCACAAACTCAAGTCCTCAAAGAGGGAAACATTCACAAGGATTTTATTAGATGATTTTGTTAGATAAAACTTTGCCCATTGTGAAGTCTCCTCCCAATTTCGTACATGTCCCAAGTCCTTAACAATGAACCAAATCCCATGAGCCAAACAAAGAACCAGGAGTGTTTAATTCACCTAATTTTCTTCCTTAACATTCCATGGCAGATGTACCTATCAGGCTTCCTGCAACGTTTTGCTCTACCTGCAACCCTACAACCTGATAGAGGCCTTATTAATTCAGCTGGGATGAGGACAATTCAGATCAACCCGATTATCTGGGCAGAGAAAAACCACTCTGTGAACAACCACCATAGGCTTTCAGAGGGAATACCAGACCTCTCCCAAGAAAGGGGGCCCACTTCAAATACTTACTTTCTCGTTGTGGAACCTGATAGGATTTGCTTCAATTCTGAGTAATCCTCCTTTAAGATGCCCTGCACCAGGTGGATGATGGTGTCTCAGTTTTGTCTCCATGGTTCACACATCCATGGAAAGCAGATTAGATGAGTGAGAAATACTTTTCCCATCAAGTATGCTCGCCCCTGCGTCCCAGTAGAGCTAAGAAATGATCTGAAAGATGGAGATTGGAAAGCATTGCAGGCAGAAGTAGAGCATGTGCAAAGGCCCCGTGGCAGAAAAGGCCACAGAGCTGAAGGAAAATCAGTGTCCTGGACCGCAAAGTCAGAGGAAGCATGGTATGATATGAGGCTGGAGCAGCAGACGGAGCCAGACAGTGTGGGTCCTCTTAAAGACCTGGGTCTGAACGCAAAATATAAAGGGAAATCATTGAAAAATTGTAAAGCAGTAAGCAGAGGAGTGGCCTGATCCTATTGGCAGCTTCTGTGGAGGAACTCTGGGATGGAGAACAGATTGGAGGGGTGCTGGTGTGAAGGCAACGTTTCAGACATTAGGGTGGGTGAGTTGAGCCAGGGCAGTCTGGGAGGTAGAGAGAAGTGGACGGATTCCAGAGACAGTCTCAGGTAGAAGTGACAGAATTTGGTGATGGATTGAATGAAGAAAAGGGGGTGTCAGCCATGATTCCTCACCCCTGAGGCTGCCAAGAGCTTAGCTCAGCTTTTCTCCTTCTCAGTTGCCTTTTCTGGAACAGGCAGATCCTCCAAAGGGAAAAGTCGCCCCAGATGCTAAGCTCATATTTCAGGTGTTCCTTTGCCTCCAAGATTTCGGCTCTGTCATTTTTCACTGCTTTTTGGGGGGTCTCCGATGCCTCAAGAAAACTTTAGTCCAGTTTTTCTAGTTGTCTATGGGAGAGGTTTGGCCTGAGTTGCCTGGCCTGTCCTTACCTGAAATGGAAGATGTAGCCTATGTAGTCTATGCCCAGCTCAGAGACTTCCCTCTCTCCCTCTCTTTCTGCTCCCTCACGGAAATGACTGAGCTCTGAGAATCAGGAGACACAAATCCTTGCCCAGACCCTACCACTCACCTTCCCCAACCTTCCCCAGGATCCTGGGCATGTGTGTCCCCTCCCCACTGTGAGCCTGTTTTCCCACGTGGTGTCTTCTTCCAGTGCCTCGTGGTGTGAGGTGGGATGCAAGTACACTGTGATGTTTGTTTGGGGTGATGTGACCCACGATCTATCAGACCCCTGTGTGAGCCATGTTCTGTAGTCTCTGCCACCAGCTCTGACTCCAGAGACTAAAGCTGGTCAGGCTCTATGGAAACTTTGAGGCAGCCACTCCACACAGTCTGATGTTCCCGGAGTCCCTTCCAGCCTCACAGTGGCAGATCCAGGTTTCATGGACCTGAAGCTTATATAACTTGAGAAAGTTATATCTCTTACATCCCTTTAAGAAAAAGAATACTACAGGACAAATACAAAGTCAGGTATAAAAGTGAATAGTTGGAAAAGGAAATGTCAACAATTCAAATTTAAGAGCTCATACATATCTGGATTAATCTAGGTTCAGACAGAAGGCACAATTCACAAAGGGATTTGGACAGGTAAAATTTAATATAAAGAATGATTAACTACTAAGGGCTAAAGAGAACATGAAAGAACACAGGGATCATGGTTAAAGGGCACAGCCATGACCTCCAGAGCTGAGAGTACTCATGGAAAAAAACAAATTTGGAAGAACCCCTCCAGAGCTGAGATTCAGACCTCGATAGAGAGTGCTGTGGGTGTGGCCCACCGATTGGTGTTGAAGTTTGCTGAGGTGTCACAGGCCCAGTCAGGCAAACAGTAAAACCACCTGCTAAAGTGTGGGCCAGACTTGCTGGGAAGCCACCCACAGTGGGTAATGGGAGGTTGCCTATCAGGGTACCAGGGTACCCTAGTACCACCCTCACAGACACACTCAGGAACAATACCTTGCCTCCTTCAATCCAATCAAGATGACTCAGTATTAACCATCACAAGTCTACCCCTTGTCTACCCAGTCAGAATCCACTGGAAGCTACCCACTGCGATGTCCCTGAAACTTGCTGGGGTAAGCACCATGGGGTATGGCCAAAAGCTCCAGAAATAAGAAAATAAGAAAATGCACCAGAAACAGGAAGAGAAGCTCCTTTGTCCTCCAGTGTCCCTCCAGCTTCCTTCTCTGGCAAAACTCCACATTATGCCAGCTGGTAAGGGAGCCACGTTAACAGGGTCCGGTTCCAGGATCATAAGGCAGAAAAAAGAAGGGTGGGTGAGAGCTGAGAGGAAATAAACTGACAACTGAAACAAATGCAAACCAAAACCACAATGAGATAACCTCACGCCTGGTGGGATGGCTACTATCAAAAACTCGAAAAATAAAGATAGCAAGTGGTTGGTGAGGATGTGGAGACAATGGAATCCTCACACACTGTTGGTGGGAATGTAAATTAGTACAGCCATTATGGAAAACAGTACTGAGGGTCCTCCAAAAATTAAAAATAGAACTACCATGTGACCCAGCAATCCCACTTTTAGGTATAAATCCAAAGGAAAGACAACCACGATCTCAAAAGATACCTGCACTTCCATGTCCATTGAGCATTATGCACAATACCCAAGATGTGGAATCCAGCTGTGTGTCTCTCAGTGGATGAACAGATAAAGAAATTGGGAGGCCGAGGTGGGCGGATCACTTGAGGTCAGGAGTTTAAGACCACCGTTGCTAACATGGTTAAACCCCGTCTCTACTAAAGATACAAAAATTAGCCAGGCATTGTGGCGGGCGCCTGTAGTCCCAGCTACTCGGGAGGCTGAGGCCGGAGAACCACTTGAACCCGGGAAGTGGAGGTTTCAGTGAAATGAGATCATGCCACTGCACTCCATCCTGGGCAGAAGAGCGAGATTCTGCCTCAAAAAAATAAAAATAAAAATAAAGAAAAGATGATGTGTACATACAATGAAATATTGGCCAGGCATGGTGGCTCACACCTGTAATCCCAGCACTGTGCAGATCACCTGAGCTCAGGAGTTCAAGACCAGCCTGGGCAACATGGTGAAACCCCGTCTCTACTAAAATACAAAAAAAAAAATTAGCCGGGAGCGGTGGCCCACGCCTGTAATCCCAGCTACTCAGGAGGCTGAGGCAGAAGAATTGCTTGAACCCAGGAGAAGGAG
Source organism: Homo sapiens (assembly GCF_000001405.40). NCBI lineage: Eukaryota > Metazoa > Chordata > Mammalia > Primates > Hominidae > Homo > Homo sapiens. Next base: position 27,182 of record NW_025791797.1, on the reverse strand, counting down.
GGTGCAGTGAGCCAAGATGGCGCCACTGCACTCCAGCCTGGGCAACAGAGTGAGACTCTGTCTCAAAAAAAAAAAAAAAGAAGAAAGAAATATTATTTACCCTTAAAGAAGAAGGAAATCAGCTAGGCGCTGTGGCTCACGCCTGTAGTCCCAGCACTTTGGGAGGCCAAGGCAGGCAGATCACAATGTCAGGAGTTTGAGACCAGCCTGACCAACATGGTGAAACCCCATCTCTACTAAAAATACAAAAATTAGCTGGACATGGTGGCACGTGCCTGTAGTCCCAGCTACTCGGGAGGCTGAGGCAGAAGAATCACTTGAACTCGGGAGGCGGAGGTTGCAGTGAGCCAAGATCATGCCACTGCACTCCAGCCTGGGTGACAGAGCAAGACCCCATCTCAAAAAAAAAAAAAAAAGAAGGAAATCTTTCCTTTTACAACAACATGGATGAAGCTGGAGGATATTATGCTAAGTGGAATAAGCCAGACAGAGAGGGACAAATACTGCCTGATCTCACTTATATGTGGAATTTTTTTTTAAGTCAAATAAAAAAAAACAGAGTAGGATGGTGGTTGCTAGAGGCTGGGGGAAAAGGTGTTTGTCAAAGTGTACAAACTTTCCATTATAAGATGGTTAAATTCTGGAGATCTAATGTCCAGCATGGTGACTATAGTTAATATTGTATACTTGAAATTTGCTGGCTGGGCGTGGTGGCTCACGCCTGTAATCCCAGCACTTTGGGAGGCTGAGGCAGGCAGATCACCTGAGGTCAGGGGTTCGAGACCAGCCTGACAAATATGGTGAAACTCCATCTCTACTAAAAATACAAAAATTAGCTGGGTGTGGTGGTGTACGCCTGTAATCCCAGCTACTTGGGAGGTTGAGGCAGGAGAATCACTTGAACCCAGGAGGCGGAGGTTGCAGTGGGCCAAGATTGCGCCACTGCACTCCAGCCTGGGGGATGAAGCGAGACTCCATCTCAAAAAAAAAAAAAGAAATTTGCTAAGAGGGTAATCTCAAGTGTTCTCACCACATGCTCAAAAAGGTAACTATGTGAGGTACTTGATATGTTAATTAGCTTGACTGTGTTAATCATTTGACAATAATATATGTATATCAAAACATCACCATTTTGTTTTTTGGGTTTTTTGGTTTTTTTTTGAGACGGAGCCTTGCTCTGTCGCCAGGCTGGAGTGCAGTGGCATGATCTTGGCTCACTGCAACTTCTGACTCCTGGGTTCAAGCGATTCTTCTGCCTCAGCCTCCCAAGTAGCTGGGACTACAGGTTCCTGGCACCACGCCCAGCTAATTTTTGTATTTTTAGTAGAGACGGGGGTTTCACCATGTTGGCCAGGATGGTCTCAATCTCTTAACCTCGTGATCCACCCGCCTTGGACTCCCAAAGTGCTAGGATTACAGGTGTGAGCCACCGTGCCCAGCCGATAATGAGCTTTTTTTCCATATGTTTGTTGGCTGCATAAATGTCCTCTTTTGAGGATTGTCTGTTCCAACTTTTGCCACTTTTTGATGGAGTTGTTTGTTTTTTTCTTGTAAATTTGTTTAAATTCCTTGTAGATTCTGGATCTTAGACCTTTGTCAGATGGGTAGGTTGCAAAAATTTTCTCCCGATCTATAAGCTGCCTGAAAGACATGCACATAAGAAACAGTACAAGGTCATCAGGTGATAGGCTCCCAATTTCTTTTAAAAAGATCCAAAAATGAATTTGTACAGAATAGGGGCTTTTCACTCACCTTGGGCTTTTATACCTTTCAGAAAGAATAATGTGAGAAGTAGGATAGTCTCTTATTTAAAAGTAAAAGATGACTATTTTTGGTTGTCTGAGATTCGTAGACATTTTTCTTTGTTCAGGCAAACCCCTCTCACCCTTCCTCCTTATGAGGGCACCATCACCATCCCTGACTAAGTACCTTAGTGGTCTCTGAGCATCATTTGTATGTGCAAGTACAGGAGCCAAGATACTGGAAAATGACTTTAAAAACTCTTCTGTGGTACCAAGAAACTCACACAAACTCACAGATTGTATAGAAGAGTGTGTGTCTTGGAGCAGGGTTGGGTGAGGGTGTAGAATGAGAAGAGAAAGGGGCCTGCAGTGGGCGTGGAGAGGTGGTAACAAGGTTGATAATACTTGGTGACATATTAACCAAAACAGCATGGTACTGGTACCAAAACAGACATATAAACCAAAGGAAGACAACAGAAACCTCAGAAATAACTCCACACATTTACAACCATCTCATCTTCAACATCCCTGACAAAATCAAGCAATGGGGAAAGATTCCCTATTTAATAAATGGTTCTGGGAAACCTGGCTAGCCATATGCCAACAACTGAAACCAGACCCCTTCCTTACACCTTTTACAAAAATTAACTCGAGATGGATTAAAGAGTTAAATGTAAAACCCAAAACCATAAAAACCCTAGAAGAAAATCAGGCAACACCATTCAGGACATAGGCATGGGCAAAGACTTCATGACAAAAACACCAAAAGCAATTGCAACAAGAGCTAAAATTGGCAAATGGGATCTAATTAAACTAAAGAGCTTCTGCACAGCAAAAGAAACTAACATCAGAGTGAACACATTACTCTTAAGGAGCAGTTTGAGAAGTGAGGCGGCCTCTTGGGATAAACATCTAGACCCCTCCCAAGGGACTATTTGAGAGGCAACAGCAGTCACCACAACTCCAGTTGGTTATTTATTTTTAAGGACACGGTTTCACGAACACAAAGTCATATCACATAGAGATATTTTTATCTTCTTTCATCAACCGTATCACTTCTTTCAAACATAATAAAATAACTTTTGAAACAGGGACGACTGTGGTCATAATCAATATTTCTCCCCGAGCTGAGCCTACTTCAGAGAACAGTGCATATTGGCAGGCTCTGCTCGTATCTGACAATCACAGACAGCAAGCAGGAGGGCAACGAATGATTTTTCCAGGCTCAGTTCCTACCCTCACCCCAACCCATCCCGCATTACAGGATCTGCATTCGGGGCCACTCTCACTTGGATGGAAAACTGGAAAAGTTTGGCATGTTGCTAACTATGTTGTTATTCATGGTCCATCCTCCACCCACCCACCCCCGCCAGCTTTCCTATAGGTTCCTGGGTATAAAACAGCACTTACGGGTACTGAAAGTTTAGGGCTTTTTAAAAAAGTTACTCATAGTGTGGGCTTGGGGACAGGGAATGGGGGCAGCATCCATCACGTGGAGAAGGAAACAAGGCCCACAGAAGTTTACTTGCTTCAGCCAAGTCTCTGCTGGCCACCTGGTATTCTCAGGTCAAGCTATGCCAATCTCCCTACATACTCTGACACCTTATTTATATTTATATTTTTTCCTCTGTCACAAGAGAGAACTCAACTATCACTCAAAATCCAGACCCAATTTTAAAAATAATTAATTATAATTTTACAATTACTTTTTTAAATTGTATGTTTTTTTTTTTTTTTTTTTTTTAAAGACAAACTGGGCTAGGTGCAGTGGCTCACACCTGTAATCCCAGCACTTTGGGAGGCCAAGGCGGGCGGATCACGAGGTCAGGAGATCTAGACCATCCTGGGTAACACGGTGAAACCCTGTCTCTACGAAAGATACAAAAAATTAGCCGGGCGTGGTGGTGGGCGCCTATAGTCCCAGCTACTCAGGAGGCTGAGGCAGGAGAATGGCGTGAACCCGGGAGGCGGAGCTTGCAGTGAGCCAAGATCGCGCCACTGCACTCCAGCCTGGGTGACAGAGCGAGACTCTGTCTCAAAAAAAAAAAAAAAAAAAAGACAAACTGGAAAAATATTTGTAATTTTTATTACAGACAATGGGTTTCTATGCCTAATATATTGAGACTCTAAAAATTCTACATACCAACAATATGTAAATAGTAATGTACTAAGAAAAAAAAAAATACCACTTGCAGCAGCCACTGGTGCCTTGGAGCACCAGAGAAAGGCTGGGGAACAGGTGGAGGTGGGAGAATCCATGCGCTATGCTTTACCGCTGGGCCTTTGTCCTGGGCTGAACTCTTCCCACCTTCCCCCCAAATTCATATGTTGAAGTCCTAACCTCCAGTATCTCAGAAAATGACTGTATTTGGGATAATGTCCTTAACGAGTTAACTAAGTTTAAATGAGGTTACTAGGATGTGTCCTAATATGACTGATGTCCTTCTGAGAAGAAGAAACTTGGACATTCACATGCACAGAGGGAAGACCCTGTGAAGACTCAGGGAGAAGGCAGCCCTCTGCAAGCCACGGAGACAGGCTTCAGGCGAAACCAGCCCTACCAACACCTGCAGCGCAGACTTCAGCTTGGAGGACTCTGAGAAAATAAATTTCCGTTGTTTTAGGCCACCCACACTGTGGTACTTTGTGATGGCAGTCCAGGTAAACAAATAGAGCCCTGAAGCAGCCCTGTTTGACCTAAAGAATCACACAAGAGGCTGGGCGTGGTGGCTCACGCCTGTAATCTCAGCACTTTGGGAGGCCCAGGCGGGTGTATCACATGAGGTGGGGAGTTCAAGACCAGCCTGACCACCATGGAGAAACCCCATCTCCACTAAAAATACAAAAAAATTAGCCAGGTGTGGTGGCGCATGCCTGTAATCCCAGCTACTCAGGAAGCTGAGGTGGGAGAATAGCTTGAACCCAGGAGGCAGAGGTTGCAGTGAGCCAAGATCACACCACTACACTCCAGCCTGGGGAACAAGAGCAAAACTCTGTCTCAAAACAACAATAACAAAAAAAAAAAAAAAAAAAAAAACAAAAAACACATCACACAAGACTCTCTCACCTTCTATCTTCATGTCTCCCACTTGTTGGCTTTCCTGGAAACATGGCCACTGGCAGATTCTGTGTCCCAAAAAAGAGTTCTGGTAGGTCCAACATAGGTCAAATCTCCATTGATTGACCAGTCACTTGAAGGGTGTTGTTAAATGATTGACTCAGGTTGGGTAAAATGCCCACTCTCTACCAATCAAAGGTGCCACCTACCACTGACACTCAACTTGCTACTTTAAAGCAAGCCATAGGCTGGGCGTGGTGGCTGTAATCCCAGGACTTTGGGAGGCCGAGGTGGGCGGATCACGAGGTCAGGAGATCAAGACCATCCTGGCTAACACGGTGAAACCCCATCTCTACTAAAAATACAAAAAAAATTAGCTGGGCGTGGTGGCGGGCGTCTGTGGTCCCAGCTACTTGGGAGGCTGAGGCAGGAGAATGGCATCAACCCAGGAGGCGGAGCTTGCAGTAAGCCGAGATCGCGCCACTGCACTCCAGCCTGGGCGACAGAGTGAGACTCCATCTCAAAAAAAAAAAAAAAAAAAAAAAAAAAAGCCAGATTTCCCACCTGATATTTGCTACTCTCTGACCTTCCAAAGTGCCACCCTGAGCAGAGCCACTTACATGAACAGGTGAGAGAGTCAATGACCAGTGGACTCTGGAAATCCGGAAAGATATACAAGGTCCCAAAATGTCCCCCTTGACCGCAACCGTTCACTATGTCTCAAATATTCTCTTGGCATGTTGCTTTTTAGAGCATCTCCTGCTATGCAACTTCTTTTAAAAGACACACACTCCTGGTAGTGGTTGTAGGTGGAACTGATTTTTACTATGTTATTAATTTCTTGGTTGCCTTCTTTTTTCTTTGTAGGAGAATCAGAGAGTCCTAGAGACTGTGGGGAAAGTCCAAGCAAAAGGGAAGTGAGGTGCAAGAGTTTCACAAACTTAAAATTTTCATTGGACTACCTCTGCCTTTGAGCAGGACAAGTTCCAGGAAAGGAATTTTTCGTGTAAAATACAGAATCGTCATCAATATGTGGACTTCTCATTTGAAATGGCACCTTAATCTAGGGATCCTGATGTATTCCTAGATTTATAAAAAGCAAAATTCACAAGTTCTTTATAATTGTGCCTCTCTTGATACTGTAATTTAACTATGTTCCCCAAAAGAAAAAGCCAAAGAAATATCACAATATACAGCTTCTATCTCCTACCACCAATTTAAAGTTGGGTACAAAAGCCCTATCTTTCCCAGATCACCAGCTTTTAGAAGTTTCTTGTTTTCAAGGTTTTATTTGTGGCAGCCAACTTCATGAGGCCTGGTCATCCACTAGAATGGAGCTGTGGAAAGCAGGCTGAGAATGGACCTAAACCTAAATGGTGGTCAAGTCCCAGGAGAGCAACTTGGGCAAATGATGGCAAAGAGGGTGATGGGAGTGGGCAAGGGGTGGGGTCAAAGGAACCAGGGCTAAGAATTTGAGAAAACGAGGCCGGTATGGCAGGGACCCCCTTCTGCACCTGGCCCTGGCTACAGCTGTGTGCCGATGGGATTTGGCAGTGCTTCTAAAAATGTCTCCATGGATACCCTGGTGGCTTCTCATTCTCCTGGTTGACTTATTTAAAATATAGATTCCTGAGCTACCCCTCATCCAGAGCCACCTTCCCCAACCAGACTCACTGAATCCAAATCTGTAGGGTCAGGGCTCAAGTAAGAGCATTGTCACAGTACCCCCACAATAATTTTTATGTATGCAAATTTTTAGAACTTTTCTGAAGTAGAGGTTTGCACTTTCAGAGAAAGTAAGTAGATGCACCTAGGTAGGGGGGTAGTCTTGATATCAAAACAGCAATCAAGAGAAATACTTTTCCAGCTTAGCAGAGCTGGAAAATCTTGCCCATGAACCCCTGTTTCATGCCCGAAACTTAGCCTTTCCAAGCTCCCCATTCCTGGTCTCCTGGTACTCCTACCCAAGGCTCAGCTTGACTCCTGCATTCTAGACATGAGGTGGGAAGTCCTCAGATTCTCCTCCCACAACTACATAGGGACTTAGAGCAAGGTCACTCCTCCTGGAAGACCGGCCTAGGATGAGGTATTCCCATGCCAACGTGGGCTGTTTTCTCCAGCTTGTTGAGTGGGTTATTTGGTTATTTTGACTCCCATTCTGTGTGTATTTCTGCTGGTGCAGGGGAACTGACTCCCTGGTCTCGACTGCTGCCTTTTGGAATTATTTTCACCTGAACCATGTCGGGAGACTATTCTTTGCCTGGCTGGGTATTTGCTTGAGACTCCTTCCAACCAGTCTCATCCTAAGTGCCTATCAAGTATGAAACCTAGTACTTAGTAGTTGCTCAATTAAAATGTGTGGGAAGGATGGGTTCAGGAATGGGTAGATGCATCGATAGATGGATGAATTGTGGATGGGTTGATGGGATGAATTGATAGATGTGTTGCCCCTTCCCTTCTAACTAGCCCCTTTGCCCACCAGGTGGGGAGATGGCACTGATCTAAGGTGAAGTCACAAGACCACAGATCTGTATTCGTAATGCTGTCATTCTTGGGCAGCCTCTGGTAAACCACTTCCATTAGGGCAACAAGAACAGCTATGTAACTTTAGACCACCAGCCTGTGACTCCAGATGATGGAGATAATGGCTGTCAACCTCCAGATCCAGGCTATTCCTTTGGGTGGCTTACAGGGCCCATATTCAATAACAAATTGATCCCCTCTATGCTTCACTTTGATACCTTGAAACATGGCCTCATTCTGAGGCTTATTATGTAGCCAAATTGAAACTTTAGATCTTTCCACATGAAAATCACTGCAGTTACAAACATTAAGCATTTGAAGGAAACCAACCACACACTTACTCAAAAGAGCTATGTCTCATCTTCTCCATCTGTAAAACTAGGCCCAGTCCCCAGATCCCTCAGGATGAACCAGCAGCTCCCAATGCCAGGAAAGTGCTTCAACAACATCAGGTGAGCTGTACAAATGAGAGGTAATTTGACAAGTCAGCCAGCACAGAGCAGTCAGTCAAGTCAATGCAGAGTGCGCTAATGCACTTAAAAGCCCAGAAGCAAGCCCAGGCTGAGTAATAATGGCCTAAACACCACCAGGGATTTCCCAAGTCTAATTTCCAGCGCTGATGGCATGGTGTTCCATCTCCATTGGGCTAATTAGGGCCCGATGGAGACAGAATCTGACAGAGAGGCTCACCCTGGCCTTGGTCTAGATTTATGGGGAAGAGAAGTTGCCAGGAAGGTAAATTAGACATCAATGGGGCTTCCCCCAGGATGACAAGGTCTCAGGGGCATTAAGACTGTGAGATTGGAAGTGACTATAGATAGATGCTATGCAGAGAGACTGGGAGGTGTGGGGGTTAGCGTAAGGGCTTTCCCGTTTGCTAACCATGTGGTCACGGTCCACGTCACCATTCAAATCCTTAGTTCCTTCATCTGTAACATATAGCTGATGTTACCTAACTCAAAAGATTGTTGTGAAAAACAAAATATATGTAAAATGGTAGTATTGGGTCTGGCACAGAATGACTACCCAATCAATGGTGGTTATTTTTAGATTATGTTGTTGTTGATATGTTCTACTGCAGTGAAATATTCACACAATTGACCAGCCCTGAGAAGTGAAGATCTGTTTATCATTCAGACCTAAAGACTCAGCCTAGTCCTGAATGGGACATATGCTACTCTGGGGAAGACATATTTACATAAGATGTATCTGTCTACGATGGCCCCTTTTTTCATCAGCTTCCTGAAATAACCAGCCTCTTCAGCCAGAATTTAGGCCATTTATCTCTCCTCCAAGTATTCCATAATATCAGCTCTGGATGCTTCTCCCCATTTCTAACCATCCCTTTCCCACCAGTGGCATGAGTCACATTGGACCAACAGCTAGGAGAGCCAGGTCTTATGCTGCCTCCAAGTACAGAGGAGCCCATGCCTCTCTCCTCATCATCCTTATTGCCAACTTTTCCCAGAATCAGCGTATATACATAATACTCCTCTTTCTGATCCTCTGCTTTTATCCAGCTGCTGGAGGTTGCAGATATAATTTTCAGCTCAACAGAAGTAGAGCAAAGAACTTTCTACTGACTACAGCTGTCTACTGACTACAGCTGTCCAACATATACAGACATACATATACATACATACATACATACATATATGCATTGCAAGAGAGAAAGTCAAAGGGTCAAAGTCTGTAAGCTTGATGTAACTCAAGCTTACATCAAGTTCATACATTAGAAGACATTATTATTAAGATTTTAATTCCTCCCCAAAGTAATCTATAGGTTAATATCAATCAAAATCCCAAAGGACATTTTTGTGGAAACAGATGGGCTACTAATAAAATATATGCAGAAATGCAAGGACCTAGAGTACTTAAACCAACCTTGAAAAAGAAGAACAAAAGTTTGAACCCAGAAGACAGAGGTTGCAGTGAGCCAAGATTGCGCCACTGCCCTCCAGCCTGGGCAACACGAGACTCTGTCTCAAAAAAAAAAGAACAACGCTTTAGGACACACACTACCTGATTTCAAATTTTACTATAAAGCTACAGGAGTCAAGATGTGGTAGTCGTGCAATAACGGAAAAATAGGTTAATGGAAGAGAACAGAGTCCATAAATAGGCCCACAAATATAAAGACAATTGATTTTCAACCAAGGCACCAAGGTAATTCAATGGAGGCAAAGAAAGTCTTTCAATAAATGGAGCTGAAACAATGGGATAAATGTACAGAAAAACATATGAGCCTCGACCCCTACTGTATACCACACATAAAATTAAATTGAGATTGATTATAGCTCTAAATATAAAAGCTGAAGCTACCAAGCTTTTAGGGTTAAAAAAAATAGGTAAAGATTTCCTAGAAAGGACACAGAAAGCACTAAACATAAAAGGAAATTTTGATAAACTGGACAGCATTGAAATCAAACTAATCTGCTGATCGAAAGACACCATTGATCAAGACCAGCCTGGCCAACATGGCAAAACCCCTTCTCTACAAAAATACAAAAATTAGCTGGGCATGGTGGCGGGCTCTTGTAATCCCAGCTACTTGGGAGGCTGAGGTAGGAGCATTGCTTGAACTTAGGAGGCGGAAGTTGCAGTGAGCTGAGATTGCACTACTGTACTGCAGCCTGGGTGACAGAGTGAGACTCTGCTTCAAAAAAAGAAAAAAGAAAAGACACCATTGAGAAAATGAAATGAAAAGGAGAATATATGTATTGTAATGATTTTTCTCCACTGTACTGGAACTACTTTTCCGAGAAATGGTTATGATACATATATTTGACAAAAGACTTATATTCAGAATATATAAAGAAATCCTACAAATCTGTAGTGAAAAGGCAAACAACCCAATTAAAAACAGCAAAAGATAGAACAGACAGGCTGGGCACGGTGGCTCACACCTGTAATCCCAGCACTTTGGGAAGCCGAAATGGGCAGATCATGAGGTCAGGAGATCAAGACCACCCTGGTCAATGTGGTTAAACCCCGTCTCTACTAAAAAAAAAAATACAAAAATTAACTGGGCGTGGTGGTGCGTGCCTGTAGTCCCAGCTACTCAGGAGGCTGAGGCACGAGAATCGCTTGAACCCGGGAGGCAGAGGTTGCAGTGAGCCGAGATCACGCCACTGCACTCCAGCCTGGTGACAGAGCGAGACTCTATCTCAAAAAAAAAAAAAAAAAAAAGATTGAACAGACATTTCATAAAAGAAGATATGCAAATGACCACTAAGCATGTGAAAAGATGCTCAGCATCATTTGTCATCAGAGAAATGCAGTGACAGTCGTCATGAGATAACATCGCACATCCACCAGAATGGCTACAGTGAAAACGATTTACAGCTGCCGAATCTTGGCAAGAATGTGGAGCAACCGGAACTCTCATCCATTGTGGGTAGGAAGATACAAGGAAACAACTATTTTAAAACTGGTTTGGCAGTTTCTTATCATGTTAAACATACAACCATTCTATGACATGCTAGGTATTTACTCAAGAAAAACAAAAACATTTTTCCTTAAAGAATTTGTATGTGAATGTTTATAGCAACTTTATTTCAATAGCGAAAACGATGAAATGTCCATCAACAGGAGAATGGATAAGCCGAATTGTAATATATTCACATAATGGACTACGTCTTGGTAATAAAATTGAATGTAACAACTGATACATGTCACAACATGGCTGAATCTCAAAAATATTATTTTGCATAAACAAAGCCAGATGCAAAAGAGCACATACTATATTTTCCATTTATATGAAGTTCAAGAACAGGCATAAATAGGTGGGGTGCAGTGGCTCATGCCTGTAATCCCAGCACTTTGGTAAGCCAAGGTGGGAGGATTGCTGGAGGCCAGGAGTTCAAAACCAGCCTAGCCAACATAGCAAGATCCTGTCTCTACAAAAATTTTTAAAATTAGCTGAGCACGGTGGTGGGTTCCTATAGTCCCAGCTACTCGGGAGGCTGAGATGGGAGGATCACTTGGGCCCAGGAATTTGAGCTTACAGTACAGTCTCTATACAAAAATAGAAGAAACATAATTAATCTGTGGTGATAGAATTCAGAACAGTAATTACCCTTGGGGCACAGGAATTTACTAAAAGGAGGCATGAGGGAACTTTATGGGCTGATGGAAATATTTTATTTATGTCTTGATTGTATGATAGTTACATGGGTATAGACATTGATCAAATCTCATCAATTTTGCTGTATGTAAATTTTACCTAGAAAAGAAAAAGACCCTTAAACACATATTTAATTCTAATTAGCAGGTTGGCTTTTTCACAATGGGATATGTTAGCAATTCAGAAGCTACTTTCTGAATTCTAGGCTGGAGAAAATTAGTAAAAGTATTGAGGAAAATGGAAGCCAGATTTCTCACTGCTGAAGAGAGTTACAAATATGGAAAGGGAAATCCCAGAATAAATCTTGTAGTGTTGGATTGGAATAGAGGTATCGGTATGAATGATCTATACTATATGCCTTTTAATTTATAGATATAAATATAGAGCTAGAGATAGGTAGGTAGGTAGATAGGTAGATAGGAGAGGGGGAGAGAGAGAGAGAAATAACGGCTCCTTGGAGAAAGGGCTAATTTCAGGGGTGGGGCAGGGAAAGTGCAATATGGACCTGAAACATCTTGTTTCAACAGAAAAGACTGATGTGTTCTATATATGATGGGAACATGTCTAAAGGACACAGGAGCCTACCTGAAGAGGCTCCCACTGGCCAAATCTTAAACAACTTGGGAATCAAACTAAATAATTATGAGGAAACAGTTTGAGCATCAAATTGGATGAATTATTGCCCACTGAATACAATAAGAACCCACAAGTCCACTCTGATTTAAATATATATGCACAGACAGTGTTTCCTTACCCATAGAGGAAATAATAAACATGGAAGGAAAGACAGAGTTTTAAAATTATCAATGGATGCTGGAATTATTAGGTGGGAGTTTGGTAAGTAACAGGATATTTACATAATCTCAAAATATCTCCCCTAAATTACTTACTAATCACAAAAGGAAAATAATAGCTTCACAGGAAAAAAAAAACGTTGGTAGACACCTTCTTAACAAAGTGGTCAAAGTTAACATCACGAATACTGGGACAAACTGACATCGTGTTATGATACACAGACAGTAACACAGCATCATACTGTGGTGTGTCTGCCAAAAATGAAAAAACCTAGATCCAGTCACAAGGAAACAGCAAACAAACTTCAATGGAGGAATATTCTGCAAAATAATTGACCTCTACCTTTCAAAAATGTTGAAGTCACAAAAAGCACAAAAGACAGAAGAACTGTTATAGATTACAGAAACTAAAGATTCGTGACAACTAAGTACAAAGAATGATTCTGGATTAGATTCAGGACCGGAAAAGAATAGCTACAAAGGACATAGTTGGGACAACTGACAAAAGTGAAGGCGGACTGTGGATTGATAGATAATTTTATATCACTGTTAAACTTCCCTATTGTTATCACTATATTATGATCATGTAAGAAAACGTCCTGGTTCTTAGGAAGTGCTGAAGCATTTAGGAATAAAGAAGCCAGTGTGTCTGCTACTTACTCTCAAATGGTTAAAATAATAATAGTAATAAGCATATACATGATACATATATGAGACAGAGTGATTAAGCAAATGGGTGCAATATACAAACTGTTGGTGAATCTAAAGTATATATAGAAGTTCTTTGTACTACGTTTGCAACTTTTCTGAAAATTTGAAATTATATAAAAATAAAAAGTTTTTTAAATTAGTTCTTTTGACTCTGGATTCTGCATACATATAGCAAGAATGAATTTTTTTTTTTTTTTACTCCATTCCCATACCTCCAAACTCATGGGGGAAAAACTAAAGAAAAGAGGTGATCTTTGATGAGTCCAAGCTGTCCAAGTCTATCAATCTAGATAGAGACAAGAGATCCTGCAGAGAGCCACCATGTATCTCAACACATGAGAATCTCCAGCTGGGTCTCCCAGGAAGCAGAATCTGAGACAGCATTGAAAATACCGGACCTTGGTACGGTGCGGTGGCTCACGCCTGTAATCCCAGCACTTTGGGAGGCCAGGGCGGGCAGATCACGAGGTCAGGAGATCGAGACCATCTGGCTGACATGGTGAAACCCTGTCTCTAGTAAAAATACAAAAAAAATTAGCTGGGCCTGGTGGCGGGCGCCTCTAGTCCCAGCTACTCGGGAGGCTGAGGCAGGAGAATGGCGTGAAGCCGGGAGACAGAGCTTGCGGTGAGCGGAGATCGCGCCACTGCGCTCCAGCCTGGGAGAGAGAGCGAGACTCCGTCCCAAAAAAAAAAAAAAAAAAAAAAAAAGAAAGAAAAGAAAAGAAAATACAGGACCTTTATTGGGGAGTGTTTTATAGGAATCATCACCTGGGGAAGAGGAGAAAAGGGAGCAGGACAGGGCAGAGAAGGGAATTGAACTGTAATGCTGTCTTGACAAAGGCCTCATTTCTACCCACAGGGATCTCTGGAGTTGGGATGGCCCTTCAGAGATGTCCTGAGTTCAGGCGAGGGGGCTGGACTTTTTATTTGTTTGTTTATTTATTAAAGAGACTGAGTCTTGTTCTGTTGCCCAGGCTGGAGTGGAGTGGTGATCATAGCTCACTTGCAGCCTCAAATTCCTGGGCTACAGGGATCCTCCCACCTCAGCCTCCCCAGCAGCTGAGACTACAGGTGAGTGCCACCACACTTGACTAATTTGTTTTTTATGTTGTTGTTGTTGTTTGGGGGTTTTTTGTTTGTTTGTTTTGAGATGGAGTCTCCCACTGTCACCCAGGCTGGAGTGCAGTGGCGTGATCTCGGCTCACTGCAAGCTCTGCTTCCCAGGTTCACACCATTCTCCTGCCTCAGCCTCCCAAGTAGCTGGGACTACAGGCACCCGCCACCACGCCCAGCTAATTTTTTGTATTTTTAGTAGAGATGGGATTTCACCATGTTAGCCAGGGTGGTCTCGATCTCCTAACCTCGTGATCCGCCCGCCTCAGCCTCCCAAAGTGCTGGGATTACAGGCATGAGCCACCATGCCTGGCCGTTTATTATTATTATTATTTTTTTTTTTTGTAAAGCTGGGGGTTAGGGGGTGCCTACCATATTGCTGAAACTGATCTTGAACTCCTGGCCTCAAGTGATCCTCCTGTCACGGCCTCCCAGAGTGCTGGGATTACAGGTGTGAGCTATTGGGCCCAGCTGGGGCTGGACTTTTATATCCCTGCATCGACCACTCATTGGATACAAGCTTCCCTAGGAAGAAGGCATGACCCTGGGCATCACAACTCTCTCCAGACAAGGCAATTCCAAAGAAAGCTGACAGCTGAGGGCTGCTTGCCAGCAGCACTCCTAGCCACTGGACAAATAAGTCCTTTAGTCCTGAGCAGGGATCTGGATGTCCATTATAATGTGTTTTTTAGAACCTCTGAATGAGCAGAGTATATGTTCTCCCAAAAGTAAGTGTCATCATTGTGAAAAGGTCCTTTGGGATGGAGGTGGAGGTCCAGAGGGTTCTAGTTCAATGCCATGGGCCATTTCTATATCCTAAGTTGATGACGTGGCCAACAGGAAGAGGAAGGTAATAGAGGAAAGCAGGATGAAGGGAGATGGGGGACAGTGATGGTCAGATCACAACAGAGGGAGACTGGGACTTAAAGGACTGTCCATTAACAACCACGGACTCCTGAATGCTGATAGCTGGGGGGAGAATTGCCCCAAGGGCAAAAAAAAATTAAATGAGAGAAAATTGGAGACCCTAAAACTTTCTACTATATTTTGGTAGTTAGATAACCACATTCAAAGAAAAAGATGAAACATAAACAGGATCTTTGCATAAAAAATGCAAAGTAAATCACAACAGAAATTATCCAAAGACATAGGGGAAGAGTTTCTACAAACAGTCTTCCATTATCTCAATAAAATTATGGAACAACATGATTTCTCCGAAAAGAAAGAAACTGAAGAGAAGAGATGCAACAGACAGAAGCATTCAAGGTGGAAATGACAAGACAACAAAGAGAGATGAAAAATGAGCTGCAGACCTTGGGAAAGAAATGAAAAAAAAAAAATTACAGGGCCATGTAATTTTGGCTGAAATCTGGTAGAGTTCATGTGGATACATTTAAGGAAATCATCCAAAATGAAACAGAAAAAATAAAGATATTTAAAATTATTGCAGAAATATAGATATGGATAGCAAAGGAAATCAAACATGTAACTAATTTGGTGTTCCTAAAAAAGAGAACAGAACAAAATCAAGATATCAAAGAAACTTTTTACCTGCATTGAATACATAAATCTTGAGACGCAAAGACCCCCCCCAAGGGAAGAAAATGATACAGAATGACTAATACCAAGACATACGCTGGTGAAGAGCATAAACTTGAATTGTAAAGAAAGAATCTTGGCCGGGCGCGGTAGCTCACGCCTGTAATCCCAGCACTTTGAGAGGCCGAGGCGGGCGGATCACGAGGTCAGGAAATCGAGACCATCCTGGCTAACACGGTGAAATCGCATCTCTACTAAAAATACAAAAAAATTAGCCGGGCCTGGTGGCACACGCCTGTAGTCCCAGCTGCTTGGGAGGCTGAGGCAGGAGAATCACTTGAACCTGGGAGGCAGAGGTTGCAGTGAGCTGAGATTGTGCCACTGCACTCCAGCCTGGGTGACAGACAGAGACTCCATCTCAAGAAAAAAAAAAAAAAAGAATCTTATGGGCATCCAGATGGCAAAAGCCAATCATAAACACGGATGGATACAGGAAGTCAGGCTGTCCCAGTATTGATGATATTAACTTATGATCACTTTGTTAAGAAGGTGTCTACCAACTTTTTTTCCTGTAAAGTTATTATTTTCCCTAGAAACACTTTTTGAGAAATGTCTACAAAAGCGTAGAGAAAATAAAAGGTTAGTAACTAAGTTTATAACCAGCCAGAATGTCCTCTAAATAAAAAAGTAACAGAGCAACATTCTCAAGTATGCAAGCAAAAACTTAGGAATTATAATACCCAGGAGATGAGTCAAAAGAAGCAACCCAGGGATAGAAAAATATGTTGAGAGGATAGATGTTGAGCATAGAAATCATTTAAATAATAGTAACTAGTTAACATTGATTGACCACTTATGTGCTAAGCATTGTTTTGAGTTTTATAGGTACTAAATCATTTAATCTTTACATTAACTCCATAAGGTAGATACAATAACACCATCTTGCACAACTCCAGTGGATACCATTGCTCCAGACAGAGGGAGTTGTTTGTCATGTTTGGTTTTAGGGTTGGGGTTTTAGGTTTGTTGGTAAATAGAAAGGAACAAGCCAAGGCAGGAGAAGGAACAAGAGAAGTTACAGAAAACAGAATCATTAGAACAAATCCTCAAGAGAGACCCAATTCAGAAGGGGGTGTGAGAACAGACTTAGGAAGATGCAGATACATTTCCAAGCTAAGCAGGAAAGTGAAGATAAAGCACTTTTAAATAGCAGGCAAGGAAATCAGACAGTGGATTCATGGACATCTAAAAGCTTAAAAATATGTTTGAATTGAGACAAAATTCTCTGCCGTTCTAAATCCTAGTTCATTTTGTGACTTGTGAACATAGGTGAGTTTCTTTCACATGGTACAGAAGACACAGTAAGGAGCTAGACATGCCAGAGGTGGTGTGGGGTGAGGCCCTGACACTTGTTGGCGAAGAGAGGGCTTGTCACAAGTCCTGGCTGGGCTCCCAAACCCCATGCAGAGCGGTGAGCCTTTCCAACATCACAACCCAGCAAGCAACTTGTCTTGGAATCAGGACAATGTAGTAGCTCAGCTCTTGTCACTTTCCAGTCTGCCTTTGAACCTGAATCTGAGAGACTGGCAGCAGCCCATGTAGACTGACAACATTCTTCATGTTTTATCAATACATTTTTCTCTATTACTTTCTTGTATATTCAAGAATCTCAAAACTGATTGATTTTATCACAGCCAGCTAGCAACAAAAAGTGGCGCTGAGGGGAACAACATAATTCAGTCACAGTGACTGCCTGAGGTTCCAGGCTTTTCTTCACACTTGGTCCCAGCAAGTTTTACAGCAGGAACACAGCTTCCCTCCCTCTTCCTTAACAGGGCCCTCCTTCATGCTGTGGGGTACACATCCTATTTCAAGGGGTTGTGGATTTCAGTCCCTTTTAAAATCTTTCATACCGTTTTCTTCTTATGCCAGGGCTTCTTAACCCTGGCACTAATGACATCTTGGGCTGAATAATCTTTTTTTTTTTTTTTGAGACAGAGTCTCGCTCTGTCGCCCGGGCTGGAGTGCAGGCTGGAGTGCAGTGGCCCAATCTCAGCTCACTGCAAGCTCTGCCTCCCAGGTTCACGCCATTCTCCTGCCTCAGCCTCCCAAGTAGCTGGGACTACAGGGGCCCGACACCACGCCCGGCTAATTTTTTTGTATTTTTAGTAGAGACGGGGTTTCACCATGTTAGCCAGGATGGTTTCGATCTCCTGACCTGGTGATCCGCCATCTCAGCCTCCCAAAGTGCTGGGATTACAGGTGTGAGCCACCGCGCCTGGCCTGGGCTGGATAATCTTTCGTTGTGGCTGAGAGTGGAAGAGGTTCTGTCCATTATAGGATGTTTAGTACCATCCCTGGCTTCTACCCACTAGATACAAGAAGCACCTCAAATCCCACCAGTTATGACAACCAAAAATGTCTCCAGATAGTGCCAGATATCCCCTCGGGGCAAAGTTGCCTCTGGTTGAGAACCACCATCTTAAACTGAAATCTTACAAAACATTTTAAACATTTTGTAACTGTTACACACTCTATAGCCAGGCTATTTTCTACCAAGTCAAAGCTTTTGTAAAAACCTGGGGATGAGGTGTAATCCCAATGTTCAACTGTCTCCCTAGGCATCTGCCCATCTCTCTGTATTTGCAAATTACAATGCTCATTGATCCTTCCTCTCATAGATTCCATTATCCATTCATATTTTGACTCTAAGAGATGTTTGCTCGAATCGTGTCTGCTGTGTCTAATGGTCTCAGTAATTTAAAAGCTTCCTGCCAGCAGGCATTTCCCACTATTGACCGTGGTGTTCTGGAAAATGTATGTTGCTTTTGCGAGAGTATGGTTGGGTCCCCCACTCCATTCCAAAGCTTCAGATGTCATCTTTTCTACAAACAAAGTAATTGGGCATTGAGAGTTCGTATTCACTTTTTGGAATTTTAGTCTCATGGAGATGCTGAGCAGACAATTCCTCATGCGGCAGCTCCAGGATAGAAACAGCAGCAGCAAGGGGATTTCTGGATTGAAAGTAACAGAAAAAGATTATTACCCTTTCTCTGCCTTCTCCTTCCATTCCAAATGGGTTTTCTTTTCTTTTCTTTTTGGAGATGGAGTCTCACTCTGTCACCCAGGCTGGACTGCAGTGGTGCGATCTTGGCTCACTGCAATCTCCGCTCCTGGGTTCAAGAGATTCTCCTGCCTCAGCTTCCTGAGTAGCTGGGATTACAGGGTCGCACCACCACACCTGGCTAATTTTTGTATTTTTAGTAGATATGGGGTTTCACCATGTTGGTCAGACTGGTCTTGAACTCCTGACCTTGTGATCTGCCCACCTTGGCCTCCCAAAGTGCTGGGATTACAGGAGTGAGCCACCGCGCCCGGCCCAGTTTTCTCTTTTAAGTTGTTAGGATGTGTTTTAATTTCAAATAGATTTTGTAATTCTAGCAGTGTTTGGAAATCTACATTGCATTTTACTATATTAGCAAAAACCATTTTTTGTTTTCTTGAAATAACTTTTGTAATCTGTAAATTACAATCTTCCATATAGTAGAAGTGAGTCCCCTCGGTTTTTCTTAGAGAGGAAAGAAGAATATAATGCTTTGCAGCTGATTTGCCTGTTACATTAAGTGGATTTTGCAAAGGCTTCCCCTCTGAACCAACTACTTCTCTGTCCATTTTTTCTACCATAACTGGGTGACACGTACTGTGTGTTCCAGTCTTAACAACCAGGTCATAGCTGTGAGCATTATCCCTCTGTCTCTGGGAAATTTTTCAGTTCCTATGTCATTTTCTTTGTCATTCATTCAAGTAGATTAATCCAGTCTCCAACACAGAAGCAAAGTGTGCCTTTCAAAATACAAACCGACTTCCACCACACTGCCTACTTGAACATCCTTCGGGACTTCCGGTTGCTCCTTGGGGAAAGGTGAAGCTCTCTCCCATGACCTGTGAAGCCTGACAGTCTCCCCCTGTCCTCCTCTCCAGGCTCGCTTGCAGCAAGCAATCCCTCCTCTCCTGGCTCTCTCTGCCCCTCTCCTAGTCCCCCATGCCCAGTGTGCTCTTCACTGCCTGATGCTCCTAACCAGAATGGGCACCCCTTCCCACCTAAGCTAACTGCTTAATGAACTGCTACTCATTCTTAGGTTTCAGCTCAAGCACAACCTGACATTCTCTGAGAGTCTTCACTAGGATCTCTCTTCCAGTTGAAGGCCCTGATTGGACCAGATTCCAGGTACCATGGCAAGACCCACATAACACTTGTTCCTGTTGTAATTTTACCTTTATTTGTGTGATCATTTTGTTAATCTCTGTCCCCCCAACAGGATGATAACATCTGTAACAGCAGAGACTGTGTCAGTTTTTACTCATCTCTATATCCCAAGTGCCTCACTCAGTATGGGAAGAGTCTATCTTCTTAGCACTCAAATAGATCCACTTTTCCTGACACCACTCTCACCGCTTTAGCTCAGACCAGAATCTTCTCTCACTTGTGCCAAAGAAGCCAAGCTTTGGCTTGTTTGGATTATAATCAACTAGAGGAAGAAGGCAGTGGCTATGGAGAAGTTGGAGGATCTGGGATGGTATTTTGGAAATGGAACAACAGGACTTGAAAAGGAAGTGAATGAGGCAGGACGGAGAAGGGGAGGAATCAAGACCTTTCATTTCCCCCTCCAGATCCTTCAGTCCAAACTCCTTATGTGAAACCTTGCATGGGCCTTCAACCTCTGGCTCCTGATTGCCTAGAAAACCTCATTTCTCACCTCTTCCCTTGCTCCCTTTCCACATGCACTCCCCTAATGCAAGCTGTAGCCACAATGAACACTGTGCTGGTCCCTGGACTCTGCATGCTCTCTCTGTTTGCTGCACCTCACCCTTCATCCACTTAATGCTTACTGGTCCTTCATCCTCACCAGAAGCTGCCTCCTCAGGGAAGATGAGGCTGGACAGGTGCCCCTCCTTTGTGCTGTCTTCTGTCCTATATTGACTCTGTTGTCACCTACACCCTGCATTGGTATTTTCTGTTTATTTACATCTCCCCCACTAGATTATAAGTTCCTTGGGGGCAGGGATGACATCTTATTCATTGTCACATCCTTCAAACCAGCACAGTGCTTGACATGCAGTGAAAGTTCAATACACATTGCATAGATGCTTAAAGAATGGGGCTAACTAAGAGGCTCGGAGAAACTGCCTGACCTGCTCCAAGTCACTGGACAGAAAGTGGCAGAGCTAGAATTGAAATCTATATAAACAAAGATAGTCTATTTTCTTTCCTTTTTGTTTTTTTGTTTGTTTGTTTGTTTTGAGATGGAGTCTCGCTCTGTTCCCCAGGCTGGAGTGCAATCTCGGCTCACTGCAACCTCCACCTTCCGAGTTCAAGTGATTATCCTGCCTCAGCCTCCCGAGTAGCTGGGATTACAGGCACGCGCCACCACACCCGGCTAATTTTTTATATCTTTAGTAGAGATGGGGTTTCACCATGTTGGCCAGTCTGGTCTCAAACTCCTGACCTCATGATCTGCCCGCCTCGGCCTCCAAAAGTGCTGGGACTACAGGCATGAGCCACCGCGCCTGGCCTAGTCTTTCTATTTTCTTACCCCATCTCCTAGCGGTGAAAATAATGGAAATAAGGCGCCTATTTGTGGATAAAGGAGAGAAATTCTGGGAGAGCAGTTTAATCAGTCTCTTCATTCCCAGAATTGGTACTGACAGCCAAAAGGGAAGAACTGGGAGGAAGCAGATGTTGTTTTCCAGGAATGGTGGTCTGGGTGAAGAGCCAGTACAGGACAGGATGGGGGTCTACTGGCACAGTCTTGGCAGGCAGCACCTGGGGTCCAGAGCAGACAGGTTGTGCGGGAGGGCAGTGGACCCAGGGAACCACATCCAGTATGGCCCTTCCTCAGCCACATGCAGCACCTTGAGGTGGAGTGGAGGAGACAGGTGGATGTGTCAGACGCAGACTCTCAGACATC
The DNA here is from genome assembly GCF_000001405.40 of Homo sapiens. Classification (NCBI taxonomy): domain Eukaryota; kingdom Metazoa; phylum Chordata; class Mammalia; order Primates; family Hominidae; genus Homo; species Homo sapiens. The sequence goes on along the minus strand of NW_025791797.1, from coordinate 5,607 downwards.
TCAGGCTTACAAGGTCTGTCCTAAATAGTTAGTCCAACCTCTGGCTCAACACCTGCATCTTATTCCAGCACTTATTGAGCATGTCCATCATTACAGGCCCTTTGCCGAGCACGTTTTCTCCCTTGGAAAGAAAACAGCCCTGCCGAATTGTGAAAAATAAAACACACACAGAAAAGACTTATTTTTATTCTGCTGCGAATGTACACCCAGCAATATGATTTTTAAAAATGATTGTGTATAGACAAGTAGTATACTGCCTTTATTCAAAGGCTGCTTTAAAACCCAGAGATCGGTGCGGTCACTCACGCCTGTAATCCCTGGACTTTGGGAGACCAAGGCGGGCAGATCAGGAGGTCAGGAGTTTGAGACCAGCCTGGCCAATATGGTGAAACCCTGACTCTACTAAAGATACAAAAATTAGCTGGGCGTGGTGGCACACGCCTGTAATCCCAGCTGCTCGGGTGACTGAGGCAGAAGAATCACTTGAACCCGGGAGGTGAAGGTTGCAGTGAGCTGAGATCGGGCCACTGTACTCTAGCCTGGGTGACAGAGCGAGACTCCATCTCAAAAAAAAAACAAAACCAAAAAAAAAACAGAGATCTATATCCCCTTTGGTTTTTGAATGTGGAAGTGTTTTCTTTCTTCTGTAGACATCTAAAAAGGTAAGACTCTCTGGCCCAAAAATTTCCACACATAATGCTATACTTCTAAATGGATTTATGAAAAGCCTCAGAACGTTTGCTTTCTTGCTGCTGCTAAAAGCTGCTGGCTATGATGTCTCTGCCCCGCAAAAAATGTGGGGTTTTATTTTAAAATTAGATCCTCTGGTTAATTTAAAGATTATGCCAAGTGTATGTTCCAAATCCCCTCATTCCATCTGACCTGCAGGAACACATCTGCTCTGTGTTCGCCCCACCCTGACTTCTGACGGTGGCATATGTCTGATTCCTTTGATTAAAGAGAAGGGTTTGTTAGGATGTCATGTACAGTATATCAAAGGAGATCAGGCACCCGTCTGCAAGTCAGATGACAAAAGGAGTGATCAGGCCGGGTATTCTAAGCAGACGCTGTGAAGAGCCAGCTCAGGGGAATGAGTCATAATTTGGAAAAGTGTTTGTTAGCGATGGTTTTGGTAATAATCACGCACAAGTCCCACGGTCTGCTATGTTCAGTAGAGTAAAGTAATTTCCCAAACATCCATCTGTCCCAGGTACAGAACTCCAACCAAATTGTAGAACAAGCATGGCAAGGGAGATTCCACAACATTTGGCAATAATTTTCCAAACTGAGGTTTGTCCAGCTGTTCGGTGGATGGATCTAGATTAAGAAAGTACCTTACCTTTAATCAAAGCATGATGAAAAGCTTTGTTTCTGAACAGCAAGGCTGCCTGAGAACATCATTTCCTTTGTATTCTAAAGAAAATATACATTTTCTATATTTTTTTAAATTTCTGTAGTAATTGGCTTCCACACTGGCCTATCACTCCGACTTTCTGTATCTCACGGGATGTGTGCTGTCCACCTTGGTGCTGAGAGATGAGAACAGAAATAATGCTTCCTGGCCAGGCATGGTGGCTCACACCTGTAATCCCATCAATTTGGGAGGCCCAGGTGGGCGGATCACCTGAGGTCAGGAGTTCGAGACCATCCTGGCTAACATGGTGAAACCTCGTCTCCACTAAAACTACAAAAAATTAGCCAGGTGTGGTGGTGGGCGCCTATAATCCCAGCTACTCGGGAGGCTGAGGCAGGAGAATCTCTTGAACCCGGGAGGCGGAGGTTGCAGTGAGCCGAGATCACACCATTGCACTCCAGCCTGGGCAACAAGAGCAAAACTCCATCTAAAAAAAAGAAATAATGCTTCCTGCACAGAGCTACATTTGAGACTGCTAAATCCTCTCTACTCAAAGTGTGAGGTTCTAAGTTTCCTGTGGAAACTTGTTAAAAATGCAGAACCTTGGGCCTCACCCCAGATCAACTGAATAAAAACCCACATTTTTTTTTTTTTTTGAGACGGAGTCTCGCTCTGTTGCCCAGGCTGGAGTGCAGTGGCATGATCTCGGCTCACTGCTCTGCCTTCCGGGTTCACGCCATTCTCCTGCCTCAGCCTCCCGAGTAGCTGGGACTACAGGCGCCTGCCACCACGCCCAGCTAATTTTTTGTAGTTTTAGTAGAGATGGTGTTTCACCGTGTTAGCCAGGATGGTCTCGATCTCCTGACCTCGTGACCTGCCCGCCTCGGCCTCCCAAAGTGCTGGAATTACAGGCGTGAGCCACCGGCGCCAGCCGAAAACCCACGTTTTAACAAAAGGTCAGCTTGGTAGGTCCCAAGATTGGACCTTTTCAGACATTCTTTACTTTTCGTGGCCTGATCTTTTTTATTAGAGGAAATGATTTTCTGCAATTTATTAAAAATACAAATCAAGTACTTTGTGAACTGTTTTTGTGTGCCACTCTTTTTTCAAAACATGTTTAGTAAGTGACTAATGACCAGGTGCAGTGACTCCCATCTGTAATCCCAGCACTTTGGGAGGTGGAGGCAGAAGGATCACTTGAGGCCAGGAGTTTAAGACCAGCCTGGGCAACATATCAAGACCACATCTCAAAAAAAATAAATAGCTGGTGTGGTGGCATGCACCTGTAATTCTAGCTACTCAGGAGGCCAAAATGGGAGGATCTTTTGAGCCCAGGAGGTCAAGGCTGCAGTAAGCCATGATCACACTATTGCACCCAAACCTGGGTAATAGAGTGAGACCTTTTCTCCAAAAAACACAAAATAAATATTAAACAGGTATTTCGTGAACTGTTTTTGTGTGGCACTCTTTTTTCAAAACATATTTAGAAAATTACTAGTATGTGTCAAACCCAATACTAGAGGTTGGGGTGAAACAATGACAGTAAAAGAATCTGCCCCCGGGAACTTCAATTCTACTACAATTGATGTATTTTAGAGAAAGCCTTTTTTTTTCTCTCTGCGACTTTAGGGTCACATATCTCTTCTAATGCTTCTGTGTCCTCTCTGTTTCCTGGTGGGCCATTTTTTTAACAAACAGAGTCGCAGAGTGGAGAGTGGCTGGGGTTCATGGCTGTCTGTCCTTGGCCCCTTGGGAGAGCTCCTTCGTGCCCCATGGGTGCTGGCTGCAGCTGCTGCCTTTCACATCTGAGGCTGGGGGCAAGTTTCCTGTTCTTCGTTCTCTGCAGGCCCCCATCCCAATTCTCTAGGCAACTCGAAGATCCTCAACCCAGCACGGCTAGGGAGAAATGCTCCCTCGCAAGTATGAATATTGTTTTCAGAATATCAGGGAGAAAAAGCAGAATGCTCTTCTGGGGCTTAAGTCCTGCCTGTGTGTAAAGCAGCAAGGAAGCTCTAAGGGTAGATTTTAGGTGTCTCCTTTATCTTAGCCCTGGCATCCTCTACTGAAGAGAACAGTCTGACCCTCCCACCTCCCCCTTCTTTGGCAGGGGCAGCCATTTACATGCTGCGGGAAAGCCAGAGGCAAGGCGCCGCTAGGAGGGAAATGGTTAGTCCTGCTGGCAAAGCAGTGAGCTACGGGCCGTTGGTGGGGGACCAGCCAAGGCTGTTTCTCACTTAGGGTTTTCTTACACTTAAAGGCACAGAGGAATTTGCTGTTAATCCAGCCCCATTGGAGTTGTATTCAGTACCAACTCCTCCCAGGTTCTGACACATGCTTAATTCTTATCCCGAGTTCCTGAAGCTGATGGAGATTTTGTTCTATTTATAAATCTTCATGGATATTTAATAGAAATATGGGAGAGAGCGCCCAGGTATTTTTACTTTACTCCATCCGTTTTTACAAAATCAAGGGACTGCCTTTAAAGAAAATAAACAAATAAATATTGATAAAAAGCACTTATTTAACACTTTAAAGAGTGTCTGCTTTAAAACAAAAGCCAAAATTACGTTAAATGGCAAAAAGCTAGAAGTAGTCCCTCTAGGCAAAGGAACAAAACAGAGATTCTCTATTTCCTTCCTTCATTCTTTTCTTCCTCTTCAACAGTTATTGAGCATCTACTGGCTCCCAGATGCTAAGTGCTGGGATACAAAGTCATATAAAAATCACGCCTGCTCCCAAGGAGTTTACTATCTACCAGTTACCATTGTCATCCATTTAGGAAATTTCTTCTGATGCAATAAGCATTAAACCTGGGAGACCAGATTTAAGACAAAGCTTTCAGAGAGCGTGGAGTCAGAGTGTAAGGATAGCAAGGAACACCATTCTTCGTTTCTTTACCAAGCCACTGGATCAAACCAGCCCTGAAGCCCACCATACTACTGCTGGTCTTCAAAAGTCAAATAATCCCTTTACTGTTTGGGCCACTTTCATTTGGGTTGTTTCCTGACCTTGAACAAAACTTATACACAGGGGATTCCTTCCCTGGAAAAGAGACAGGGCTAACTGACCTCTGAGGACACCTCCTACCTCCAAACATTTCACAGGCAAGTTAAACATACCCATCAAAGATCACACCTGAGCAAGCAAATTACATATTTTACTCTAAATTTAAGAAGCTAAAATGGATACTCAGACCCTGTGGGCTTTCGGAGTGCTTTCTCCTCAAATAAATATGTGTTGCTTAAAGGACTAAATACAGTCTGGGGAGCAGATAGAAGGAAGGAGAGGCTTGGCTAAGGCCTCTGAGATTCGATAGTTAACAATACACTTAATTTGCCCAGTGTTTGACACTGTCATAGCAATGCCCCATTTGCTTATAAATTTCGTCTTGTTTGGCAGCAGCAGCCCTGCTGTTTCTCAGACACGTCAGTATCCTGGCCATAAATGATTAAGGTCTCAGAAAACCTAGGGTCTACCTTTCCCTTAAATCCCTTAAGGTGACTTCCCAGTGTTGTAGGCAGCCTCCCCATCATGTGCATTTTGCACACAGGGTTCATGCCAGAGCCCTACAGCGGACTAAAAGAATGTTAAGTTCTGGGCCCCAAGATAACAGTTTTTGTTTGTTTGTTTTTGAGATGGAGTCTCACTCTGTCGCCCAGATTGGACTGCATTGGCGCCATCTCAGCTCACTGCAATCTCCACCTCCCGGGTTGAAGTGATTCTCCTGCCTCAATCTCCCAAGTGGCTGGGACTACGAGCGCCCGCCACCACACCCAGCTAATTTTTTGCATTTTAGTAGAGACAGGGTTTCACCACGTTGGCCAGGAGATGGTCTCAATCTCCTGACCTCGTGATCTACTCACCTCGGCCTCCCAAAGTGCTGGGATTACAGGTGTGAGCCACAGTGCCCGGCCTATTTTTAAAATAAATAAAAATAAGTGAAAACGTGATTGCCCACATGAATATTTTCCCTCCATCTTGGTTCTTTTATCTTCTCTGGCTGAGTGAACTGAATTCTGAACCTTAATTTCAACCTAAGTATGCTCGCTACGGTTCCCAAAACGCCGATGCCAGGTCCTATTTCTTCCACAGCATGGAGGTGGAGGGGAATTTTTCTCCCCCCACCCCGCTTCCTTCCTTCCTTCCTGCCTTCCTTCCTTCCATCCTTCCTCCCTCCCTCCCTCCCTCCCTTCCTTCCTCCCTCCCTCCCTTCCTTCTCTCTCTCCTTCCTTCCTTCCTTCCTTTCTCTCTCT